>NC_000001.11:237850788-238002303 GCF_000001405.40 Homo sapiens | reverse complement strand
GGTTTTCTAAATACACAATCATGTCATCTGCAAACACAGACAATTTGACGCCCTCTCTTCCTAATCTGAATACCCTTTATTTCTTTCTTTTGCCTGATTGCCCTGGCCAGAACTTCCAATACGGTGTTGAATAGGAGTGGTGAGAGGGGGCATCCCTGTCTAAAGCAAGCACATCTTTTATAAACACATAATGATTAATGACATCTGGCAGGGATACTAAGAAGAAACCCCATAAGAGCAAAACACATGTATTCTTTTCTAAATATAACTTCAATACAGTGTACTCTCCAGCAGTCCTAACAGTGAGCATTCAAATGTTAACAGTGTTTACTCAGCACTCATTATTCCTCTACTATCAGTTAGGCTTCATTGTAGCAAAATTATGTCTAACATATAGTGCAGATTCACTGCATACATTGCCATTTGCATGGTGAGGTGTCATTACTCAATTTTATAAGTAAGTCCATGTTTTTTTATAAGAAGAAAAATTGTTTTACCCAATATAAATGCCTACAGGGTAATATTATAGTCTATGGGAAGGGAAGACAATTTTCATTATTAGTATGAATTATTTTATAATGTGTATTCTTATTTTCGAATTTAACAAGAGCTGAAAAATTTCTTAATAATATGCAGAGGCTCGAGCAGTTCCAATACATTCTGCATTATAATCTCATTTTAAGTCACTTCACATTAAGCAAGGATAGATGTTACTGGAGTGTACAGTGACAGAGGATGAGAAACTAGTTTATCCCATGGGTAAGCCAAGAACACAATGAAAACTTCAGTGACTTTTAGAATTATGATCACACTTTTCAAAAATAATCCACTCTTAAATGGCTCCAGTCCCTAAAAACAAAGACAATAAGCTTCATGGAGAAAAGAACTATATGAAAAAATTACAGCTACTTAGGAGGAATAAGTTCTAGTGTTCTATACCACTGTAGGGTGACTATAGTTAATAATAATTTATTGTGTGTTTTCAAATAGCTAGATGAGAGAATTTTGGATGTTCTGAACACAAAGAAATAATAAATGTTTAAAGTGATAGATACGCTAATTATCCTGATTTGATCATTGCATATTGTATACATGAATCAAAATATCACACCGTTGCTCATAAATATGTACTATTTTTATGTGTCAATTAATAATTTTTAAAAAGAAAAGAACTATATTTCAATCACCTCTTATTTCCTCTACAGCACATAGTTTGGCAGTCACCAATTAATTCAAGTGCTCACATATTTATTGAGCTTTTAATATATTCCAGGTATTCTTCTAGGCACTGGGGATTCAAGTGTGAATAAAACAAAGTCCTGTGTTCCTGGCAATTTCATTCTAATCATGAACATACCATGTGTTCAATAAACTAAATGGATTTATGAAAAGGAGAAAAATTGTAAAAATCCAGTAACTCAGGATTCACATAGGCAGAGGAACTCCGGATGTGGACTATTCCTTTATCTGTAAAACATCTCTTTACATATGCTGCAGAACTTCTGTTTCATCACCCTATGATCTCTTTAAATATGATGCTGTGGAAATAAATACAACCTCTGAGTTTCTGTAAACACATGTCCTTTCAGACACCATGCCCCAGAAGAGGGCCCATTAGTACACTGCTCTAAGCTACAATTTGAAGAGTGTAATACTCTTGTCTTTGCTTTGATGCGGACTCTTTTCCAGCTGTGAATAAACTCAGTCCTCGCACTTCTGATGTAGCATTGTATATCTATCTTCCCAGATTTCCCAAACTGGTGGAATCCTTTTCCCTTTAACCCTTACCATTTCTTCTTCACAGAAGTTCTTCTTCACAGTGTTGTTTGTACTTCTTGATATTTTGCAGGGTACTTTTCCTCCAAGGGTTTCTTGTAAGAAAAATTCTGAAGAAAAAGAAAAACATTATCTGTGATGTTTAAATTTATAACACAAAGAAAAGATTGTGAATTGCCAAACAGTCATTTTCAGAATTACACTACGTCCTTTTACCATTAAAATGTATGCGTGCTTGTTTCAGAAACATGGTGAAGTTATCTCAAAAGGCTACTTATTAGAAATCTGTTTATATGAAAGGTGACTTTCATTGTTCAAGGCACAACATGACTTTTCTTCCTTGTAGACAGAAAAAAACAATCTTTTGAGATTAAAATTATGAAGAGGTTTCCAAGTATATGTGTCCTTTTCAAATTCCATTTAACATAATTTTCTCTAATGGTAATTTTGTTTTTTAGTTTATCTACCTATCCAGTTAGAGGTTTGCCTTTCTTTAGAGTAATGCACTTCTTTTAAAGCAAGTAGAGCTGTCCCTCTCACTCTTTAATAAAATCTCAACTCTCTTTTTACAACCACCCTCACATTTACATCATCCCCTCCTCTTAACAAAGGTTTCTTGTGCTCTTCTATTGTGAGTTAGAGATTACACTATTACTACACATACAGAGAACGCTGCTGGACTGGTGAATGATTTGCAAGGTGTTGAAGTATTTACATTCAGGATTTCATTTTTTTTAAATTTCAAGAATGAAGTTTATGCATTTTGGAAGTGAGATCCAATGCATAAAGCTGAATGGTCTATTGGGTTTGGGGCCACCAGGGGTTCTTTCAGAAGAGATAGGAAATGAATGGGGCAGTTTCTCACAAAGCGTGGGCTGTGGATTGACCACATCAAAATTCCCTGAGATATTTTTAAAAATTCAGATTCAAAGACCTCACTGCAGAACTAAGAATCAGAACACCCAGGGTAGTACCTGGGGCTCTGCATTTTAATATGCACCTTAGGTGATCTTTATGCACACAAAATTTGAGAATCAAATGTACTATAGATACGGGGGTAAGAAAGATAAGAACTCGACCTTGGAATATTTATCTTCCCCTTCCATATTCCAGCCAATACTAAATAACTGCTTCTTAAAAGTATCCATTCTTCTGGTCTGTTAGCTCACTGCAGTAATTATTAGCTAAAATCAGGCCAGTAGGAGGGCTAGGGAAAAGAAATCATGAAGAAAATTCTTCTCAGACACACACACACACCACACACACACACACACACACACAGTGGGGGGGCAAAGATGAACTTTGGGTGCAATACTCAATACTCTTATTTATTTGGAGATCCTTTTTTAACAGAATGAAATAGCATTCAAATCAACAGCACTGGAATCTCTAATCATGACATATTTAACAGTGAATTCTTTAAGATGTTACTGCCCACATGTCAAACCACCAATGAGCCAATCCATCCGTTTAATGGCCTCAGAAGAAGGGTGTCTGAACATAAATGCAGGAACATATTGAATGAATGACTGTATTATAAATAATAGTGAAAGAAAATTTTGGAACAGAAGAGGAACAGTGATTGTGGACCGCGAGCAGCAATACATACTTTGAGGAAGATCTGAAACGTGACAGAGGATTTTCAGCACAAGTGAGATTTTCTCGGGTAGAAAAGATTGGAGAAGGCATGCCTGAGTGAGGCAGTCAATTGCTTAAATATTTTATGGATCTGTCTGCTGTTTACTGGAGGCAGCATGCAAAGGTGTCAGCTTTCAAAAGTGTAAATAGAGCAGGTTTCTTAACTTCACCCAAGACAATTCCATAAGATCTCTTGCCAGGAGGAAAATTATGACTTTTCTTCTTTTACATTCTTTCTGCTGTTCTTGTTTGCAGATAATTTTTTTTAAAAAGCATCTTTTAAAGTAATATCTAAATAGTTTTTGCAATTTTAGATATGGAGGAGGAAGATGGATTGCCACATCTGAAACAGAATGCTGACTTCCTAACAGAGTAATTAATCCTAAGGCTTTGGCCCTGTTCATATATGTAGACAGCTCCTCCTCACTTCCCATGCATATTTTAAACTCACCCTTGAATTCCCAGTTCAAACTTTATCTCCTTTGCAAATTATTTTGTCTACTGTCAGTATCAGCTGCATCTCTTTTGTTCTTGCATAGCATTTTCTACCCTTTTTACAAAAACGATCACACTGCCTTATAATAGTTTTTGTTTTCATTGTTTCCACTAAATTGTAATAACTGGGATATAAGCTTCTATGGGATTGGGGTCTTTACATTTTAAAATTGTATGCCTAATATAGTGTCAGGCATATGACAGGCACCTAAAAATATTTGATGCATGAATAAATAAATGAATCAATGATATGATGCCAAGTAGACTATGCTAGACTGAGCTTAGCAGGCAGAACAGATTCTTAACACTATTCTGTTAAGAAAAGACGATGGGAACTGCAGAGGAAAAGGGAGAACTTTATTTTCTATAAAAAACTATCTGCAGACTGGGGAGGCGCCACCTTCAGTACAAGTGAACGTGTGCTTTCTGAAGAACCAAAGGAGGGTCTGGCTTAAGTAAGGAAAGTTCTCACCCTGGTTCTCAATCAGGTCCATTCATGCAAATGAAAGATTCAAACTTGTTCAGTTCTGATTGCTCAAAATAGTGGAGCCCTGACTGGATTATTTTCAAGCCCCAAACCAGAAGATGTTTCTTTCAAATGGCCAGTTGGGGGAGTGGGGGTGAGGGAAGAAACGCGTTCTAGCCACAATTTATCTTGGCACCCACAACAAAAGTCAGTTTGGCTTGACTGTAGAAAGGGAAGTCCTGTGATACTTCTACAACATCTTTCTCAGAAAACAATATGTGACCGCTCCCTTACTTCACTATGGCTGCTTATTCTGATTTTGAGCACCTCTGTTAGCTACAGGGAGTCCATTTTGTCTGTCTGTCAGGGGCATCCTTTAACATCTCTAAGGCCTCCTCCAAACTTCCTCTCGTTAACGCATTTATGCTGGAGCTTGCAAAGGATTTTTGTGAAAAATCAGACCTTGGTGATGACCTTGAGCAGTAGGATATAAATAACTCCCACAAGCTTAGCGTTCCAATAATGGAACACTAGGCATAACTGGGTTAATGCCTCATCTCTGTAATTCTAACTCTAGTCCTAATTTTCCTCTGGTTCTCTTTCTTCTTCCTATAAGTAGGCTTAAGTCTCTTTGAAGCTTAAAATGTTAGAATTAACAAACCGTCCCAACTGTCTACAGTCATCACCTACCCGTGTCTTAAGTTGAGTTTTCTAGAAACAGAACTTAGGATGAGAATCCTTGTACAAGGGGTTTAATGAGGGAGTGCTCTGAAAAGAAACCTGTAAGGAAGAGAAGAAAGAAGGATAGGGCAGGAGGAATGCTAAGCAAAGGTGTGGTATCATATGAGGTATCGATAAAAAAAGAAAAAGCCAAAAGATGAACTAGCACAGAGCACTGCTCTTAAGGGTCCTTGGCATTCCTATGAATTTTCTGGTTACCTATATTTTAAAGATAGTCTCCTAACAATTCGCTGATTCTTGGCACTAAAAGTCTTTTATTTTCTCATGATGTCATGCTGTGAGGTTGTATGGAAAAGCCAGTTATTAACATATTAAATCAAGTAACTAGTAAACTCTAAATGAATTTAGATATAGGCAAAGACAAAATGTGTATGGAAAAAATTTTTTTTCCAAATAAAAATGCTTTACTGTTCATTTGTTCAAAGATGATACCAATTGTGTTGTTTACTCCGTGTGTGAATGTTAATGAGTAATGAGTAAGCTACCCTACAGATTACTCATCCTGTATGTTGAATTAAAACTATTTCATGATTAAAAAGAAAAAAAAAGGATATTGTATCAGAAGTCTAGCTTCAGATAGATCCCAAGAGGAATTCTGGAACACAAATTGCACTGGGGCTTATCTTGCCTTGAGACGAGGAAGCTGAGATTTGATACACCCTCCCCCACCCCTCCCATTCCCCAAACACACAGTCAGTGAGTCTTTGGTCACAAACCACTAGAGAAGGGCCAGAAGATCCCAGGCATCTCCATGAGTTGGGTCCTTTCATCTAAGGCAATGACACCCACTTCTCTGCAGACTGGAATCACTTAAAGAACTCCCAACACTACTGACGCCTGAACACCACCTCCAGAGATGATGTTTTAATAGTCTTGGGTGTGGTTTGGGCAATGGAATTTTCCCATGCTTTTAGGAGAGTCTAAGGTGCAGACTAGTTTGGGAACCACTGATATAAGCACCAACAAGAGTACAGAAAATTGCTGGATCACTGCTTGGTTGTGAACTGAGGGAAAGTAATCAAGGAGTATTGAGCTGAAACAGATGTCATAAGCCAGTAAGACTATTGAAATAAAAGCTGTGGTTTGGGGCAATGAAATTAAGCTTTTTGGGGTATGAGCCTGAGATGCCTGCAGAACACTCAGGTTGAGAGAAAGTGCTGGTATAACCTCAAGTCAGTGTTCAGATTTTAAATACCAGCATGTTCAACTTTCAAAGTTTTATAAGATTTGTTGTTAGAATAGACTATTTCTGGGGTTGAGAATCTGAAGTTATCAAAATAAAATGTCTTTGCTAATACATCTGTGGTGATATAATGTATTGAAAATACCAAGAAAGATTTCTGTTCTTGATGTTTCCTTTTACCCCTGGCTCTTTCCCTAACATATAAGAGCAATGTGTGTTCAAGACCTCAGGGCAGGGATGACAAAACAGACTGAGGTGGGGAAGCCATTCAATCTTCGAACACCTAAACTCTGCTAAGGGAATCAGGGCATAAAAAATAGATTTAGAATACCTGATGCATCAGAGCAAAGCTTCTTCACTCCATGACTAGATTAAGAAGTCTACAAGTTGGGGCAGAGTCAGGGAGGGGACAGATAGAAAACAAGGACAGGACAGGCGCGGTGGCTCATGCCTGTAATCTCAACACTTTGAGGGGCCGAGGCGGGGAGATCACTTGAGGCCAGGAGTTCAAGACCAGCCTGGCCAACATGGCAAAACCTCATCTCTACTTAAAATACAAAATTAGCTGGGTGTGGTGGCGCATGCCTGTAGCCCCAGCTACTCGGGAGGCTGAGGCACAAGAATCACTTGAACCCAGGAGCCCAGGAGGTGGAGGTTGCAGTGAGCCAAGATAGTACCACTGCACTCCAGCCTGGGCGACACAGCAAGACTCTGAAAAAAAACAAGGAAAGTTTAGACTTTGATTGGGCTCTGAAAAGGGGCCCCACACCCTCCCCCAGAATGTAGGATCTAACAGAAACTCATAAAGTTTTAGGGAATCTGTGGGTTTATTCCCAAGTGAAATGCCCTAGAAGTGTAATAGCAATATGAAAAATATAGACATATGGTCCTAAGATAGTCACACCAAATTCCTTTCATGTGGGGTCACAGGGAATTTGGTGTGACTATCTTAAATGCCCAGAGAGGGGCCCTGAAATAGCAGAGAGAGCTTCAACTGAAGAGCTTATGGTCAGAAATGAAGGATAACACAGCTGTGATACAGGAGAAGGGTGGTGTCTCCGAGGATGTTCGCCCAGATAGGGAAAGAGAGACAGACAATTCCACAATGCCAGGAATGAAACTAACCCCAGGGAAAATGCTTCCTCTAGGCTGACCATGAGTAAGGTTCTACCACCTGCCGACATGGGAGGATATGATAAAAACTGAACTGCTTTTTAAACATCAAGAAAGTTCTATTTATCACCTAAATGAGGTTATATACTGAGATAAGCAACTAACAATTCATCTTATCTGAGAATATAATTTGGACCAAGAAGAAACTATTTGGCTTCATTATGTATGAGCAAGAGCACTGCATTGAGGAAGGATCACCAAACTGTGAATCCAGGTATTGGGGTAGAGTCCTAGTTTGGCTACGTGTGTGTATATGTGCAGGAGTATATGTGTGTATACATTGTGACTGTCTATATATATGTATGTGTACACATGAGCAGTGTGTGTGTAAGACAGCTGTGTGTGGACTGTGTCTTTAGCAAGTGCTTTTGAAGCAATTTATTAAGAGATGGGAGGGTCTGGGCTGTAACGAAAATTTACCACTGTGTAACAATTTTTTTTTTTGCCCTCAAAATGAATTGGTGTATTTAGTCCTTAAATATAAAACTTGCTCCAGTTACTATAAAAATACAGCAGTTTGAGCAGAAACACAAATAGTGTTTGAAAAATATAGGCATATTAGAAGCACTTTGTGGTGTATTTTGAAATTACCAGTTAATCCATTTTCCCAAAGCAGCTTCCAGGCCCCTGAATGTCAAACCATGTTCAGGAAGATGCAGGGTAGCTCTCAAATGAGCCCAGTTGCATTCTCTGCAAAGACAACTTACGGTATTAAGGCTGGCCTGGCCTGGGAAATTACTGTTCCCTGGATGAGCAAGAAGGCCTTAGTTTATTCAAGGCCCCACAGGTTATTTTGACACTTTCTGTGACCTTGGAGAGGGCTATACCCTGCCTGGTGTGGTGAGGACTCCAACATTTTATTCCCCTCATAGCTAAGAATCCTCTTCCTTCTCTCACAGACTTACAGAAGCATGAGCAGTGAGACTGAAGTGTTTGAGTTGAATTCATAACTTCGGGATGTGTATGTTGTAAGTAAGGGCCTACTCTTTTAAAGGAAGAGAAAAAAATTGCTTGGAAAGAGAAAGTTAGACTTCATCAAACTCACAGACCCATTATATAAGTTGAGACAAATCCATGTAATTTTCAATGGCTTAGTTTTCTCAATTGGAAAATAAGGAAATGGTATTAGATAATCTCTTCAATCCCTCCTGGCTCTAATATTCTATAATCAAGGTTAAGAGCCTTTAATCCCTAATCCCTTCCCTTGGTGTGAGGGAAGTGGGGGCCAAGGTGACATATACATCTTCCTAGGCCGTCTGCTTTCCTAAACATCTCATTCTGTCCACGTTATTCAAATCCCGTAGCTGCACTATATTAAACAGAAATATTAACTTTCCAAGGCATCAGAAAACTGGTCTTAAGGTAGTCTTGCTCTTGTTCCTATCTTTTGCAAAATCATGAAAAAGCCAGATTCTTTGAAAATCTATTGTGTCAAGTTCCCAGACTCATCTTGCCTATCGTACACATTTGAAATAGAATGATACACGTGACACTCAGCGACTTTATACTAACATTCGCTTTTAACCTCGGACAAAAAAAGAAATAAATCAAAGAATCTTTCATCCGGCACTGTGCCTCTGCCTGTCCAGACAGATGGCTGTCTTTCTGTTTCTGGAATCTCTGGAGAAGGAGTTCTTACAGTTTCTCTTCTTAATCTTTGTCAGTCGAGTTCAATGTTCTTTTTATTTACAAAATAGCATGCAGGAATATAAAAGAATGGCGTGTTCTCTGCGCAGGCTTCAGAGGCAAACTGAAGTCTAGCTATATTCTCCCCTTTGAGCCTGCAATCTACAAAAGAGGATTTCTAAGAATGGATTTCCTGTAAGTTCCTTGACATGACATATTTACATATAGTTGTAAAGCCTGACAGACAACCAATAACAGAATGATGCTTCCCTCCTTATCTCCCTTTCCTTACAAAGTCCCTTCTTCCAACTCAGAATCTATATTTACAGATTTCTTGCTTTTAATTCTGGACAGTGTCATTCAAAAAACATTGTTGAACTCTGTATTATCTATCAGGAAACAGATGACACACTCAAATGTGGTAATTTGATGGTACTTTAATAAAGGAACTATTTAAAAAGGGGTAAGCAGAGTTTAAGAAAAGCAGCAAGGTATGGTACAGAACCATCGAGCTTAGAGTGGGGGGAGCCATCATTACCCCTAGGCTTGAAGGAGCTCAGGGGCAGGGGTGGTTAGCTAAACCCAAAAGATAGAGTTGTTTGGAAAGGGGCACCTAAAAGTGTTTTTTTTCCTCACAACTAACCTGCAAAGACCTGGCAGGGAAAGAATCAAATAGCCCTTTTTCCTTCCAGCCTCAGTCTTTTGCTGGTGCCCTGTTGCCTACATCAGAGGACAATCTATATGGGTCAGCTCCCTGGATCACAAGGAAGGGAGAATTGTTGTGGAGAGCAAACAGGAGGAGTCAAATGGAAAGTAATAGATATGTAGCTTATAAATAGCAGAAAAGCAGAAGCAAACTGGCCTTTCTGCTGTGGCTCTGATTCCAAAATTTTCAGCATCCAAATCATATCAGCTCTCTGTCTTTTAAACCAGGAATCAGTATGTATTTGTTATCTATTGCTGTGTAACAAATTACCACAAACTCAGTGGCTTAAAACAATATGTTTATTATATCATAGTCTACTGTGGGTCAGGAGTGCATGGAAAATTCAGCTAGGTTTTCCACAAGGCTGCAATCAAAGTGTCAGCAAGGAGTGGGTTCTCATCTAGAAGACCAGCTGGGAAAGAGTTGTTTACTTTTCACCCAGGCTGTTGGCAGATTTTGTTTCCTTGAAGCTGTGGAACCAAGGGCTCTGGCTTATGGCTGCCTGTACTGGAGGACCACCCTCAGCTCCTAGAGACCATAAGAAATGCCTCACTACATAGCCCTCCCCTCAACATGGCCAATGTCTTCATCAAACCTGGCAAAGCAGAGTCTCTAAAAGTGAGCCTTCTAGCTAGACAAAATTGTAACATAAAATAATAACAGAAGTGATACCCTATTACCTTTGCCAGATTCTACTGGTTAGAAGCAAATCACCAGCTCTGCCTGCATTCAAGGGTAGGGAATTATACAAAGCTATGAACACCAGGAGGTAGGGATCACTGGGGGGTGACTGAGGGTCTGTCCACTGCATACTACAAAGTCAGTTTAATATGATTCTATTATTTTTGCATATACAACAGTTCCCCTTATCCACAAGGGATATGTTCCAAGACTCCCAGTGAATGCCTGAAACCAGATAGTACCAAACCCTAAACATGTAATAGATATTTTCCCCTATACATACTATGATAAAACTTAATGTATAAACTAAGCACAATAAGAGATTAATGACAATAACTCATGATAGACTAGGACAATTATAACAATACACTGTTCACAATTTCATAGATAGATTTGTTGTAACTATAGATCTTAGCCACCCCAGCATGTAATTTTTTTCTTTCTAAATTGAGAACTTTCACCTCCTCACATAAAGGAAGCACTTTATGGCTTCTCTTTGCTGTACTGTAATTTCCAGCATATTAATTTTCACTTTGGGTCCATTATTAAGTAAAATAAGGGTTACTGAACACAAGTACTGTGATACCATGACAGTTGATCTGATAACTGGGAAGGTTACTAGGTGACTAACGGGCAGGTGGTGTACACGCCAAATTACAGACTGATTCACAACCTGGGCGTGATGAGGTGGGACAGTGTGACACTATACACAATTTAAAACTTACGAATTGTTTATCTCCAAAATTTTGTTTTTAGTATTTTCAGTCCACAGTTGACCATGGGTAACTGAAACTGCAGAAAGCAAAACCATGGACAAGGGGGAACTACTGTATAATAAATATTAATACATCAATTTTAATGTCAACAGTAGACATTTTACAGATTCTCTTGCCCATATTTCCTTTAACATAGCCCACCACAGCTTCGATATCTTTACCAGAAGCACTAGTTCTCTCTAGGTCATTTGAGTGAGTCTCTGTTCTTTTACAAAAATAATTTCCAACATCCCTTCTCTCTCTGGGCTTGACTTTCATTGCTCTCCCATTTATCAAAACCATTCTAGCTGTTCAACTCAATTGTATTTGTAGGCCTCACCCATCTCCAGAGTTGCTATGCTTTTCTTTGTAAAAAGGTGGCTAAAAGATTTGGTCCCACGTTTATAGTTCCTATTAGGCCAAAACAGAAAATCACGTAATAAAAACTTGAACTGACAAATAACTATGCAACAGACAACTACATGGTGATCTCATCACTTAGTGAAATGCTTTATTGAAAATCTTACATTCCTTAATGTTGATTTTTTGTGTGTGTTACAGAATGTGTCTTTCAGTTCCCTAAAGTGAGATTTAACATTTAGAAGTTTAATACATTGACAACAATAAAATTAAACATATATAAATTCATTGATTTGATCCTAACTTTTCTACCAATTTATTGAGCATTGCATCATGAAATCATTTTAGGAGATTACAAATGTTAATCTTGCTTATTGATGTTACATAGTATTAAATGTTTTACTCTATGTGGTAAAACCAACATGTCTTTGACATTAAAAGATAAGACATTCAAAAGTCATTTGATATTGCTTCAGACACTGCTCAAAATTACCTCATAAGTCACAAAACTTGGGGTTTTATTGTGAGAGTAAGTTATTTTTCTCTTTAATTTCAAGGCACATAATTTTTATTATGTTCAAATTAGTTCTTAGTTTTCATTTACACGTATTGTACATCAGAGACCCTCCGTCACCTATGTTTCTCCTGAGTTTAGCATCTGTAGTTCAAGTTAGTATTTTTCATCAAAGGAACAATGATAAAGAGATAGGATAGCAATTATAAGAAATTCTATTAAAAATTCACATGTGATCAATTTGGGGAAAAGTTTCTGTTATGATACTGAATTAAAATTATCGTAGCTCAAATGATACATGTATGATCTCGACTTTGTGAAAAAACAAGGAGCAAATACAGCAAAATACTAATGAAGTTGTTTCTGGATAATACAATTATAGATATTCTTTCTCCTTCTACCTGTCTGAATTTCCCAAATTTTCTATAACGAGAATGAATTGTATTTTTATTAGGAAAACAAATTTATTAAACAAGCACAACTGATTTATTTGGGACTAGTTAAGGTATTATCTTTGCTATACTAAGTATACAAGATGAGAACTTTTTGGTCAATTAAAATTTAAACTATAAATGAAATATTCTTATAAAATTTGTATTTGTGGGACAAAGTTTTTATAGAGACATAATTTTAAGTTAAGGAAATACGAACATTTCTCAATTTTTACTGTTCAAAAATTGAAAAATTTTGAAGCTCATTTTTCTCATAGTGATTTCATTGGCTTTCTTCATTATATCAATGTTGTCATAAAATTTCTTTACATGTGCTGATACGGTATTATAATAGTTGCCATACTTATAAGATTTAATTTATTCAATAGAAGAAGAAATTTTAAAAATAATTTTATTGTACAAACACAGCTTTCATCATAGTGGACTTAAGGAATAGAAGAGTTTATTATTGTCGGGCAAGGTGGCTCACATCTGTAATCCCAGCACTTCGGGAGGCTAAGGCAGGATGACTGTTTGAGGCCAGGAGTTCAAGAGCAGCCTGATCAACATAGCGAGACCCCATCTCTACAAAAAAAATTTTTAAAAATAGCTGGGCATGGTGGCACACACCTGTAGTCCTAGTTATTCGGGATGCTGAAGTGGGAGGATCAGCCTGATCAAAGTTACAGTGAGCTATAATCTTACCACTATACTCCAGCCTGGGTGACAGAGTGAGAACCTGTCTTAACAACAACAACAACAAAAAGGAAGAGCGGGGAGGGGAGGGGAGGGCAGGAAGGGGATTATTATATATTTTTTATTATTATACTTTTAAGTTCTAGGGTACATGTGCACAAAGTGCAGGTTTGTTACATATGTATACATGTGCCATGTTGGTGTGCTGCACCCAATAACTCGTCATTTACATTAGGTATATCTCCTAATGCTATCCCTCCCCCCTCCTCCCACCCCATGACAGGCCCCGGTATGTGATATTCCCCACCCTGTGTCCAAGTGTTTTCATTGTTCAATTCTCACCTATGAGTGAGAACATGCGGTGTTTGATTTTCTGTAACTCCTACCCCTTAGTCAAACAGAAAGGAAAGACAGCACATCCAGCTGTTCAAGAACACTGCTGACACCTAGCTGAGCTCTTTAAAGAGATATGGGGCCCACATTAACCCACTCAGCCAGGAGGACTCTGAGGAGTTCTCATTCCATCACATCCACCAGCCACCAAAGGTCCCCTTCTCATCTAATAGAGGTCCTATAGCTCCAAGACCTGGGAATAAGGGGACACTAAAGGCAAAAAAATAGGCTGTCCCATACTTGTTATTTTTGACTTCTGCATGTGTACTAAAACTTTGCTGGCCTTACATGTGTCTCAAAGAACATTATGAATTCTAGTTACTGCTGAATCTACTCTACATCTTTCATAATTCAATGCATGCAAATTATACATTGTTATTACTACAGAATTTGATTTGACCATTCACATTAAATCACATAATGTTCACAACATCCCAAGTTAAACAACATTTACAAATAATGTTATATATTGATGCCTGAATTTGGTGCATCCAATATAATACAACAGTCAAGGTAAGCAGCAATCCTAAAAGCTTTCTGCCTTCACTAGGCTTTTTTTTTTTTTTTCTGTCTGGGTGTGCTACATGCTGAATCAATAATTTCAAGAAAACCAAAGCTCAAGATGACTGAATAATATTGAGTGGTTTAGCCTTGTATCACCAGCAAGTTATTGAAAACAAATAGCCAGCTGTAAATTCATAAAATTAAATTCATTCTTCCTTATCCTTGCCTCTCAATGCCTTACCCACTGGTATTAGGCTTGGTAAGTATAACCCTATTAAACCATTTTAATCTTTCATAGAGAAAGAACAGTTAAGATTGTCAATATTACATCTTAAAACAAACTCAAGTTGTAGTAAGAGGCAAAGTACATCATGGCCAGTTTTGCAATAAAATTACTACCTCCCTTTTGCAAAATATTAACATATAAAATGATAACGATTTTGTTGACTAATAAAAATGTAAAATAAAAGGGATCAATCAAATAATAATGCCTGCTATACTCTTGGGCAATCAAAAAATATTTGACAAAAAAAATGAAAGAATGAATACATTTTCAAGAACAATCTTTCTGCAAGTAAACTACACAGATATTCCAGCTAACATATTCAAACAAGTTCAAATCTAAGTCACAAAAATAAAAAATGCTTAAGGGCAATATAGAACGATCCCACCCCTAAAAAGAAAAAATAGTTGAAATAGGTTGTAATCCCCACCAATTATTTTGATCCCAACTTATCCAATGTGTTTTATTACTTACTCTTGCTCCACATCTGCTCTTGTAATTATTGCATATGTATTTGTTTATATGGTTTTTATTATGCGGCTCCTCATTGGAATACAAATTTCATTAAGCCATGGATATTGTATACCTTTTCACTACTATAATCCCAGCACCTAGAACAGATCATAAATAGTAAGTATTTGTTCTTTCTCTCTCTTACCACTATACATGTATGTGGCTGAGATTCCAAGATGCCTGAATTTACTTGGGTTATAATACTATGTGACTCCCAGCTTCTTCACTGACAGTTGACTTTTTTTTTTTTTTTTTGAGACAAAGTCCCCCTCTGTCACCCAGGCTGGAGTGCAGTGGCGTGATCTTGGCTTACTGCAACCTCCATCTCCTGGGTTCAAGCTATTCTGCCTCAGCCTCCCGGTAGCTGGGATTACAAGTGCGTCACCATTCATGGCTAATTTTTGTATTTTTAGTGGACATGGGGTTTCACTATGTTGGCCAGGCAGGTCTCGAACTCCTGACCTCAGGTGATCCACCCATCTCGTCCTCCCAAAGTGCTGGGATAACAGGCATGAGCCACCACGCCAGCCAAGTTAACTATGTTTTAAAACTTATTTCATTTGTACAGTGCAATGTGCCATGGAGGTTCTCTTTATTTTCTTTTTGTCTGGCAATATGTCTCATAATTTATTTCTGGATAAGATGTTAATATATGTGATTATTTTAGGTAGGTAGAAGGTACTTTATCTTATTTGAAGACTATGTACCCAAAGACCTGAGCAGTCATTTACTTTTGACTTGAACAAGAATCTCTAGAATGGTGGCTTTCACACCTACTGTGCATCAGAATTAACTGAATAAGGTTTATTTAAAATGAAAAACAGTGGGGATAAGGTAGGAAGAATAATGTTAGAAGTTGCATGACACATGTTATATTTTCTGATAAGTAGGAACACAGCAACTAAAAAAGAAGAGACGGGAGAGGGAATAAAGATAGTTGAATAGCACATTGCTTATTGTATAAGCAAGAAATAGGAGTTAAAACATACTATTAAAACTTACAAATCAGAAGATTAAATTGGAAAACAACAGACGACAGGCAATAAAAAGGACATAAGTACAAAGAAAATCCTTAAAAACTATAAACCCTCTTAAATATCCAAAGAAATTTTAACAAAAGGGCAAAGAAAGTATACCATAAAATGAAACATAGCATATATACCATAATAACTATAATGTAAAATATGACAGAATTGAGACAAAGCACATCAATCATATGAATAAACAACAATGAACATTAACTTCCCTATTGGAAAAATCTTTGCACGTTGGCTGTGAAAATAAGACCAATCTGTAAGTGATGTACAAGAAACACATCTAAAACAAAGATACTCAGAAGGTCAAAACTAAAGGGAAACTGCTCAGAAAATAATGGAGACTTGTCAAAAGGGCATGGGCGTCAGCTTGAAGGAGCTCCTAATAACCAAACCTGGGATAATTTGAGCATCAAAATGAATAACGGTGATAACTTATTATGATATATTGAAGAAAACAGAAATCCATGGATAAATAAACAGAAAAGAAGAAAAGTCTCTTCCTTACAGTAGAATGCCAACTAATAGATGCAGAAAAATAATGGAATGATAAAATTACAATCAGGCAACCAACAAATAATGATTTCAGGCAAGAATCATCAATAACTACTAACATTAGTATATGCACAGTTGATGCTAAACAGGATATTTAGACAGTCTCAAAGTATCTCTTCACAATATACTTATTAATTATTAATATAAAGGGAAAAATGATAAATTTACAGTAGAGAAACCCAGAAGACAACCTCAACGAGGGACCAAAGTTAGCATCACCTATAAAGAGACAAATAAATAAATAAATTATGTGCTTTCTGCCATAATGCACTAGAAGAACACAATACCACTTTTATAGTACTCCCCTTTTTTTAATATATAGCATGGATCAAATCATGAGGAAACAAAGCCAAATTGAGGGATATTCTACGAAATAAGCAGCCTCTTCAAAAATGTCAAGATCATGAAAGTAAGAAAAGATTTCAGAATTGTCAAAGATTAAAGGAGATGACAAAGACATGGTGACTAAAGGCAATATGTAGTGCACCACTGGACACTGCACCAGAAAGAGGACATCTTTATTTTCGGGAAACTCACAAGGAAGTATTTAATGGTAAAAAGACAATCCATCAGCAACTTACTCTGAAATGGATCAGGGAGAAAAGTGTTTAAATATATGTACAGAGAGAAAGAAAGAGAGCAAAGTAATAAAGAATTCTGATAAAATTTTACTCTTTGAGAAAGTTAGATGAAGGATTTATGGCAATTCATTGTATTATTTTAAATTTGTCTGTAAATCTGAAATTACTTCAAGATACACTCATGTGTTGCATTACAATGGGGGTACATTCTGAGAAATGATTTGTTAGGTGATTTCACCATTGTATGAACATCACAGAAGATGCTTACCCAAACCCAGATGATACAGCCTACTACACACCTAGGCTGTCTGGTATAGCCATTGCTCCTAGGCTAACAACCTGTGCAGCATGTTACTGTACTATATGCTGTAGGCAACTGTAACACAATGGTAAGTATTTGTGTAGCTAAACACACCCAAACATAGAAAAGGCACAGTAAAAATACAGTATTATAACCTTATGCGATCACTTTCATATATGCAATCCGTTGGTTGCTTACTGGAACATCATTATGCAACACACAGCTGTAAAAGTTAACATAAAAGTTACCTGAAAAAAACCCACAATTGAAAACGAACCAAAACAAATGAATCTAACCACATACCAAACTGTTAACATAACTATTTTTTGAACTTTATCCATATTTAGTTGGATGTGCTCTAGGATTTAAAGAATTCTGAAGTTCACATTTCACTAGAGTTACACTAGAGTAATCTGGAGAGTTATTGTTAGTAATAATATCTCCCATTGATTCTATTTCTTTTATATTGTGGGATAAAGCATTAATTTTATTAATGTTAAAAACAAGATCTACACTGTTAGAAAACAGATACAATTGTGAAATCAAATAAACTATATTAAAATACTGTAATGTTAAAATGAAATAGAAAATTATCAATATGAGGTTGGGTTCGGTGGCTCACACCTGTAATTCCAGCACTTTGGGAGGCCGAGGTGGGTGGATCACTTGAGGACAGGAGTTCAAGACCCGCCTGCCCAACATGGTGAAACCTCCTCTCTACTAAAAATACAAAAATTAACCGGGCATGGTGGCATGGGCCTGTAATCCCAGCTACTCGGGAGATTGAGGCCAGAGAATTGCTTGAACCAGGTAGGTGGAGGTTGCAGTGGGCCAAGATCACACCACTGCACTCCAGTCTGGATGATACAGCGAGACTCCATCTCAAAAAAAAAAAAAAAAAAATGACACTGCTGTGTCCTTTATGTAGATGCTGAAAAAGAAAAAGAAAAAAAGAAAGAAAATTATCAGTATGAGCTTAAGGATTTTAAAAGTGTCTTTTCCGGCTCTGTTCCATGAAATAGTATCTATGCCATGTCACCCAGCAGCAGTGGCCGTGTCTCTTCCACACAGATTTTGTCTCTAATGCCACCCACACTAAGTCTGATAAGATTTCTTGGACAAATGCCTGATTTTACTCCTGCAGCAGGGATTACAAAAGGTAGGCTTCAAACATCTTAATGGCTCAGAAGACAAAGAAGCTTTTAAAGCTATGACAAAAGGACACAGTGACATGGCTCCCTGTGGCTGAAAGAACAACTTGAACTTGAAAAACAATTGCAGAAGAGAGTAATGTGTTGAGTCGATGAAAATCCATGGGTCCATAATGACACTGACAAAAGTAAGAAAAATCTCATTTTTTTCACTATTTAAGAGGCTATTAAACCTACTTCTCAATCTGAAAATTGATGATTAAGGGAGAGAAGTAAGTTGTTACTAAGAATTGCATTTTAGAATAATCAAATGCATCTGTCAATGGAAAAAACGTTTAGAAGAATTTTAATTAATAAGAAATGACACCATTTTTTTGAAATCCTAATGAAATTAGGGATGAAGATAAGAACTGATGTTAAAACCATCAGGTGAAAGACTGATGGGAAATAAGCACAGAGCTTGATTATAAGAAAAAGATGAAAAGAGAAACTGAATAGATTCAACTACTAATTTGTAAAGTTAAGCCTAATCATAAACCAGTAAAGAGAATTCTATTAACACTGCTAGATCAAGGGTGCTTATATTTCAATACTTAGATTTTAATAATTCGTGCTGTTATCTCTTCTTATAAATTAAACTAAAGTGAGGTTCTCATATACGATTCAGATCCAAGTAAACATTTTCCCCCACACAGTTTTCTTTTGGAGGCATAATTTATACTCTCCCTGTGAAAGCCCAAAAGTAAAACTTTATCTTTAATCTTCTTCACGTGGGCAACTAGTAGAAACTTGGTGCTGGAGGACCCCAAAGAAGTCTACAATTTTTTCAGAAAACAGAAGTTGATGATGTTTATTATTACTCATGGGTAGCAAAGCCCCATAACTAACTTGCAGCAGCTATTTTTGTTTGTTTGTTTGTTGTTGTTGTTGTTGTTTTTGTTGTTGAGCAGTGACAGCACACCAGTAACTTCCCCAGAATAAATTACATCCATTTTTTGGTACAAAATGTAGTGGGATTAAAGAAAACCAATGAACTCCACATGCAACACACTTACAAAGGACCCTAGGAGTAGGCTCTTCTAGACTTGGATGGTGATGTGCCAATATGGAGATAAAGGAATTTAGGAAAATCAGGTATTCCTCAGGAATGCTTGTCCCTCAGTCTGATCTTCTTGTTGCAGATCCTATTTATAAAGCCAGATGGTGAATATTACTCCTCTAACCTCTTATCCATCACCTCTTCCACTATGTGGATTGACGCATGAAGCAGATTATGACAAGGGTCTTGCAGTAACAATACAGAAAAGAAAAAAAGCAAATTAATAATTTTCAAAATATTAGCCCAATTACAAAAATGTTAGATAACACAATTTCCAACAAATTAGAAGCATTGAATGTTAGGAAATCCTTTAAACTAATTTTAAAATCACTATGTACATAATTACATCTCTGATGTCTTAATATATTATCAATCCAACATCTACATTTCACTTCATATTGCCTAACCACACTTAATTCCATGCTGTCACAGTATTATTAGTGACATTATCACATCATGTTAGAGTTATCAGAAAATTTCCTCAATGGTAATATCAGTGAATAGCTTAGCATCAAGATTTTCTTATCATTATTCCTTAGTTAAGCTAATTTGAATTTGCTGATTAGATTTATCCTCAGGATAAAGGCAGGGTTATTTCATGTCATGCATGTCATGTTATTTCAGCTAATTGTCCATTCTTCACAAATGCCGATTAGCAACTTTTTTATTGAACAAAATAAAATCTCATGGTTTAGTAGAAGAATTCACATGGATATGCTGTATAACCCTGGGGAAACTTTATGTTTGAGTGTCATTTTCTCTGGGTTGCAAATAGGCCAATAATGTGCCAGATCCAAGAACCAATTGTGCTTCCCTGGAAAAAAACACCAGGCACTCTTTGCTTATGATTTAAAGAGCACCCAAGAGCTCAGGCCAGGCTTAAAGAGCAAATGACAGACCACAAGCTTGCTGAAGGCCTGCCTCCCAATCCCAGAGACAGGGACATGCCTGGAAGAGAAATCACAGTATACCAAAGTCCTGGTCCAGTTATAAGAATCTTCCAAATTGCAATCTTCTCTCTCAGTTTTCTTACATTTCTCTTTTGTTCCTCTGTTTACCTCTCCTCAGTTCTCTCTAACGAGCATAATACTGTTCCCTCAGTTTGCTCTAGGTCCTTACTCCGCTTATTTTTATCAAAAGTATATCATCATGTAATTTTCAAAAATAGAACAGAAAAGTTTAGATTGTGTAACAATACTTCCTGAACTGCCCTTCTACCCCAAGTCCCCAGAGGTAATAACTTCTAACCACTTTTGTATTTAGACATGGTGGTCACTTCCCTAATTCTAAATCTGGATTATCGGCATAAATACCTCCAGAGATCAGGCAGGCAATATAATTTTTGGGGTGGGCTATGCATAAGGTACTATCTCCTTAAAGGATTAGTGTAGTTTACTGTAAATATAGAATACATACATTTTCTAATGTCAAATTAAAAAAATACTCCATACACACACAAAAAAACTCACTTACCCACCAGCTGTAGCCTACGGACAGCCAGTTTGTAACCCTCGACCTAAATAATGTACTTATATCACTATTATAAAACCTATGTTGTAAGACATCAACTCTCCACTATGAAAAAAAAAAATCAGGCTTTTCTGACTCACATTAACATACTTCTCTCCAATTCTTCTTTTAAAATTTAGGCAGTTATATTAATTAAGCTTCTATTTTTAGTTCATCAACTTTATACAGTACCCTGTTATTCTCCATTAGGTTCCAATTCCCACTACCTTTCCTCCACCTTTCCATCTTCCACTTTATGTCACTTAGATTTTGACTTTTATGTGGCTAAGGTTAATATTTATTCTTCATCTTTGACCATATCTAAATCTTTCATCTTTGGGCTGAGTTTGTGATGGTTAATTTTACATGTCCAATTTGCTAGGCCACAACACCCAGATATTTGGTCAAATTCCAGTCTCAATGTTGCTGCAAAGTTATTTTTTAGATGAGATTAACATTTAAATTAGTTGTCTTTGAGTAAAGCAGAACACCCTTCATAGTGTGGATAGACCTCATCTCATCAGCTGAAGGTTCTAAGAGAGAACACAGAGGTCCCCTAAGGAAGAGGAATTCTGCCTCCAGACTACCTTCAGATTCAAGCAGCAACATCAGCTCTCTTCCCTGGGTCTCCAGCTTGCCCACCTATCCTGCAAACTTCAGATTCACCTACCTTCACGATTGTATGAGCCAATTCCTTAAAATAAATATCTCTATGTAATACATTGAGAGAGATTCATTGGTTCTGTTTCTCTAGAGAACACTTACTAATACAGGGTTGATTGTATTTAAAACAATAAACAGCATTTCCATTGTAATGATTTTCGTTGTATTTCTATCAATAAATTTCCACTGTAATGACTATGAAAATAGCAATCACTGCTGAACCAAGTAGTATACTTGGATTATGTATTTTCACCACAAGTACAAAGGGATAATTTCTGTATTACCTGAAGAAAAACATGTCTGGTGTCCAAGAGAAAAGGATTCTATTTTCTCACTGTCCATCTATGACTTAAATTAATGCCACATTTTGTTCCATATTAGGACAATGATTTTTCTTACATCCATTTTTTCCCTAGAGTTTCTAATTGTCTCTCTTTTTTCTTGTTAACAGAAAACACGTGTTTCCTCTCCAAGCCACTAATGTCATTTAGGCCCTTGGTCACTCTGTCTATTGCTTAGAATAAATCTTAACTTATGCTTTTTGGAGTCCAGTGACTTCCTGTTGGAATTTAGGCCATTTTTTTCTAGGCCTGAAGCATTTGTCATTCTGAATTTCTTTGAAATGAACTCCTGGATTCAATCAATTATTTTTAGTAATTCACATTTCCCTCTCTTTTTTTCATCTTTGTTTTGCCAGAGTCTATACTTAAGTGACTCCTTTATGAAGGATACAGTAAAGGTAAGTTATCTAATTATTCGTAATTATTATTTTGTTCTCACATTTTATTGATAATTTGTCTGCTATGAAATTCTAGGTCCCAAAGAATGCACCCAGGGAATTTTAATGGCATTTCTGTATTGTCTTTGTTAAACAAAGTTTATGGAATACCATTGGTTTGAACTAGCATCTTGCACTAGGTCCCAGCAGATCAAACCAAACCAGAGTGCAGTCACTCATGCTAAGTGCTATGTAATCAAACTGAACTTTGAAACCAGCTGGTTTTCCAAAAAACAGGAGAATCCAGTCAACCTGAATCAGCTTAATAAGGAAGTTCTCTCTGTTTTAATCTTATAAGGAAAGTAACTGAAACAACCAATTCTCTTTTTGGTCTCTGTTTCTGCCTTCTTCATTCAGCCCTTTTCAGCCTATAAAGCTGATCTTTTCTGTTTAGCTCACTGGAACACTCATTCTATCTTAAAGAGTGTGGTGCTACCCAATTGTAGAACTGAAAATAAAAGCCAGTTCAATCTTTAACTAAATTCGTGTGATAGTATTTTTTGACATCGCCTAACAGCCATTGTTGCTGAAGATAAATTTAATACAATTTTATTGTTGTTGTTGTTTTTGAGATGGAATCTTGCTCTGTCACCCATGCTGGAGTGCAATGGGGCAATCTCGGCTCACTGCAACCTCTGCCTCATGGGTTCAAGTGATTCTCATGCCTCAACCTCCCAAGTAGCTGGGATTATAGGCGCCCATCACACCCAGCTAATTTTTGTATTTTTAGTAGAGACAGGGTTTGGCCATGTTGGCCACGGTGGTTTCGAACTCCTGACCTCAGGTGATTCACCTGCCTTGGCCTCCCAAAGCGCTGGGATTACAGGTGTGAATCACTGTAATCCTGGCCATTATTTGGTCTTACATTTTAGTTTTCCAGGCATTTGCAGAGCAACATGCTGGCCAAGCGAATGAAACCCCACCCCTATCCTTCTCACACCTCCCCTGCCTTTTTACCTCCAAGCTGAGCCTAAGCCTTTCACAGTTTCACTGAGAAGCTTGCTTTCCTTTCTACTGTTCATCATCCTACATGCCCTTGGCTGCTGTTTTTGTGTTTTGTTTTATCCAACAGTAAACTTCCATCTTCCTCTACCTTCCAGAAATTTATAATCTGTCATTCATTCTTTTCACTACATGGAGTTGATTTATTTGTTAAAATCATTTCATTGGTTGCTTAAGAATGAGAGAAACAGTTGTTCTCAGCCACCCCTTTAAACCAAAAGACTTTTGTCATCCTTTATATACCATTCTATTCTATTCTTTTCCTTCCTTCTCCTTCTAGCTTCAAACTTTTCTTCTAAGTTTCATCTGTTCCTATAGTTACCAGAGTTTAAAACCAAAGTATTTTATTTTTGCTTCATGTAAAATATTTGACTGTCCTTTTACTTAAGTATCTTCAAAGAAAAAAGAATCAGAATGAGGAAAATATAAATAAGATTAATTGAGTTTTGGTACAGGCTAGTTTTGGTACATTCATGTTAATGAAACTACAAGAGGTATGCAAGCAGAAGACATCTTGTGAAAATAAGTGACAACTGGCAGAGGTCATGGATGAAGGAAAGAAGGCTATGATTTCATTGTTTTGTTCCAAAAATTTCTTCAAATTGTATTTACTTTTGTAAAAAGACAACATTTAGTGTCACATGCAGTTTTTTCCATAAGAAGGTGATGTCGACCTTGTACCTTCTATTCTATATTGTCCTGCTATTGGCTGATTATCAGAGGAAGTTCATTGATTTCAAAGACATGATCATCAATTCATACCTTCTAAGGAAAGGAACTGCATATGCAGCATTCAAAGGAATTACGAACATACACAATTGTGGGGGATTGGAGTGTCCTGCAGTAACCCCTAGGACTTTCTCTTCATTCTTATGTTAAATTTTATCTTATGTTAATTTTAAAAAGCTACGTTTTCACAGTCAACCTATAAGTCTCACATACACGCTAATGCGGGCCACAGAGAACTACATCTTCATTACTACAATGTTAAGAAGGTTTTCCATTTTCATCTGTAATCTATAGCCTTACCCCAAGTACTATATAAATAGAGCCAAATCTCTCTATAACTGATATTCTATGTCACAAGTCCTGACTCAAAGTCATCATAGTTCTTTAACCTATGCCAATTATATGCCTCATTTCACAGAATCATCATCATATTCCTTCCTACTGAGAGTTTGGTTCTCTCCCCAAACTAACCCTATTTTATAAGTGCAAGGATCCCTATTTGACTTTGATTTAGGAGTTAGTACTATCAGTGTCTCATGAAGAGAAAACTGAAGAATGGAACGAGACCTCCGATAGACCTCATTTTCTTCCATTGTTGCTGCTATTTCTGCCATGTGATGGAGTTCAGAACAGGTGAAATTTTATTTTTACTTTTTGGCATGTTGGAATGCAATTTAAAATATTTACTAAAATTTTAATATATTGTCAATGTTTTGAGATTGTTTATCAGTTTATAATACTAAAAAATATTTTTTAATGAAACCATTCTAATGTCAACCTAAAAAGAAAGTGTCAAAAGAAACTGAAATACAATTGTACTGTGGAATACTGTTACAGATTTTAAAAATTATACATACAGATGGATAGATTATGATCCACATATACTCTGTGTGTGTGTGTGTGTTTTTTTTGTGTGTGTATAAAGACAACCAAGAAACACTGGAAAGGTTGGAAATGGAATCCAAAGATTCCATTATTTTAATTGGAAAAGTTCAAAGATCCAAAGATTGGACCCAAGATTCCAATCTTTCAAACAGTCCCAAGACATTACTATTACTAACAATAGAAGCAATTTGCAGTTGACATGCAGAATGTTCATATTTATGTCAAAACAAAAGAGAAGGGGGAAAGCAAAACTATTAATTTCCTGGTGAGAAGAAGTAGCTTAAAACTGACCGGCCTCCAACTGAGAATAACTAGAAAAGCCAGAGTTAAAATACAGAGTAAAAAACACATAAAATGCAGAGCTGATGTATTTAAAGGCAGCAGAGAGCTGCTGGGTCAATAAGAACTAGAGTTAAGAGGAAACATGAAAGTTGGGCAGAGTTGATTCTGAAGCTGCTTTTAACACAAAGCAATTACCAATTCTGAGCACAGACAAGAGGGTGAGAATCAGGGCTTTCCCCTCCAAAGGGCTGCTGTCAGGGAACAAGAAACTAGCAGAGCCTCTAGCTGAGTCTCAGGCAGCCTCAATCACACAGTCTGTGCTTTCCCAGGTCATTTGCCATATTTGAGGCTAAGTGGGGTGACACACTAAAATCCTAAGCAAAAACTCTCTCAAAAGCAGAGAGGAGTTTTCAGTGGTTTCATGAGACAAAGATTAGATTTTGTAGCCCACGAGAGGAAGTAGGGGGTGGGTTAGAAAATTCTCCAGGCAATTCCTGGAGGACCAGAATCAATCAACAGATGGACAGAGCCTTAGAAGAGACCCATTTGGAGCCAAATGGAAGTGACAGCAAATCACTCTCAAACAGATCTTTATTCCACGAGTGGTTGCCTGAATGGCAAGGCAAGCAGACACCTGTGATTCTGGGACAGGATGTAACAGGACATTTCCTGGTTTGACCTGCCTGGGTAGGTGACACAGACAACTTCTCTTGCCTCATTAGCCACCCACTATGAAGAAATAATAGCTGTGCCCTTATTCCTGGGAACAAATGGCCAGATTATCCAGTCCACTGAGTATGCATGGAGCATCTTGGAATATTGACCTTGCTCTCAAAAATTCTGTAAATATGACCTGCCTCTAGCTTGCTTAGAGGGATGAGAATTCCAATTGAGCCTCTTTGACGCATTGAGTTTAGTGTCTGCTCACACTGACAATCAGAGATAACACCGATTATAGATGAAGATGCTAGTTGACAATGAGAATGAGAAGAGACTGTGCTTTCCAAAATAAAGTGCCCAGTTCTTAAGATTTAGATATTCTTAACCTTATGTTTCCAGATGATGAAATTAAGTTTTAGATACATTAAGAAACATACTACTGTCATGTAGCTACTGGGTAGATGTGGGAGTCCAACTCTGATTTCAAAATCATGTTTTTTTCTGTTGCAAAACAGTTTGTCTAAAAGTTGCTGATATGAAGCCACCACTGTTTAAAGTGCTGGATATCATAAAAATTTTAGTCATGCCCACATTCAAAACCTTGCATAAAACCTATAAAGTGGCATGAATTTAAGGCATTAAAAAGGAAGTGAAATTTAACAGTGAAGATGAGGAAAGACTTTTGCATGTTGGAGACAGGGTGAAAATTGGGAGGAAGAGTTTGATCTAAGCACATCATTTAGAATATACTAAGTTATGCTGAGTAGCAAATAAACCCCAAAATTCAAGGGCTTCAAACCACAAAGACTTCTTTCTTTCCCATACTACATATCACCATGGGTCAGGGTCCAGTTGTGTTTTCAGGAACCAGAATAATCCAGCAGCCACTATTTTGAAATATTCTGGTCACCAGCACAAGTGTTAAAAAGGCTTGGGAACACACACATTGGCTCTTGAAGCTCCTTTTCAGGATTAGCACACATATCTCACAATAATATTGCATTAGCTAAAGCACATCCTGCAGGCCCCTGTAACCTCCAGCCTGGGTGGAGAAGTGCAGAAGTGAGAACCTGAATACCTAGAACATCAGTGAGCATACCTCACGGTTACCATGAAATGGTGAAATCTGCATCCCTTACGGTCACCATGAAATGGTGAAATCTGTGAGCACCCCTCACGGTCACCATGAAATGATGAAAACTCATTCGAGTGTTGTTTTCATTGTTGCTAAAGTAACGGAAAGCACTCACTGTATCACATAAATAATAAGGAAAGTTATCATTATTAAGCTCCTAATATGCAGAAGGCACCTACTTGTGCCTGTTGTAACATTTGGTATGATTGTCCCTATTGTTCAGAAGAGGATCTGGGGCTCTGAAAGATGAAGTAAAAGCTTTGGGTTTAAGATTATGTAACTTTCATCCTCTCTCCTGAAGTCTGCAGAATGAAGGCAACAAACAAAAGAGAATAAATTTGTAACAGGGCAAAGAAAAGAAGAGAGAGGCTATGGGTGAGAGATTTGTTGAATTTCTAAGAAACATGTGGAAGGACAAAACTGAGTAGAAGTGAGGGTTCCTGCAGAGTTCACTGCCAACGCTGAATACTCAGGTATGAAGGTGGGAATGGCAGAAGTGATCAAAAGCAGGCAGATTCATTGAAGTTAAGTCTGTGGAAGACTTTTCCAGCCAGCCTGCCCAAAAACCTCACACACTTCCATATGTGCACACCACCTGATAAAGGAGACACTTGTCACAGGCACCTCCTGGGAATCTGCTCTCTGAAGTAACTGAATTATTTTCTAGGGGAAGGTGCAAGTTCCTGTTGTGGGTATCAGGGTCCCTTTTCTCTATGGCTTTTGGCCAGTCTGGTGGGGGGTGATCCCAGCCTGCCTGCTGCTCACCCGTGCATGCTGAAGTGAAGCCTGCATGTCACTGTGCCACACACACATGCACAGCATTCTCCACAAACCCACCAGCGTGCTGGAAGGGCATGGCAGGCAGAAGGGCTGGGGTTGTCACTCATGATCGCCAACACCATCGTTTTAATAAAATCATAGCTAAAATCAGGCACATGAATAGGCTGAATAAAAGATACTCCTATTGCTGCCTCATTATGGACCCAGTGGGAAGGTGGACAATGGAGTCAATCTGACAGAGAGTAAAACATCAGCTTTATTAATAAATAAATAAATACAAAGTTTTTAACTGGAAAACCTGAATCAGGTCTGTAGTATTCTAATAATGGACTTCACACTACAGCATTCCAGAATTAGAAAAGTCTACCAATTTAGTTGCAGCAAGATCATCTCAGGCCTTTCCCCAGGGCTGGCTCCTTTGACCAAGGAACAAAGAATGGAGAAAGAAAGAGAAGAAAAGAAAGCAAAGAACAGAGCAAAATGCATGCTGTCTACGGGAAGGCCAGCCCCAAAGAACAAGGAGAAAGGAAGGGGATAAACGATGAATGACTGTTCCTTCTGCCAAACTCACCAATCACATTAGTCATCGCTCACTCTCAGCAGGAGTAAATGATGGGGTAAGGGGCCAGTAATGCTACTCTAGTCAAAGCCCCTCCAAGCAAAAACAGAAAACCAGAGGAAAAAAAAAGTGTTCTACTCCTAAGATTTTATCAGTCAGCATCCAACCAGAAAAACAAAACAATTCTGAGTTGGTTTTTTTGTTTTTTTTGTTTTGTTTTTTTGTTTTTTAAATTACAGAGGGCATTTAATACAGGGAATTGGTTTTATAGGAGATGCGAGAGACTCTACCACCAACCAAGGAATAATGAGGCAACTAACAGATCAGCAATTTCAAGAAGCTGCTACCCCTTACAAAAAGGTATAGGAACCTAGGGCATCTGGGTGACCTGGAAGAATATAAAATCATGGTGGGCATAATCATTGGAGCCAAAACCATGAAAAGAGAAGGAAAACTGTCAGAAATACTGCCTGATAAAGAAAAGGAAGAGGAAAAAGACCCTGATTTATCTCACTTGTCTCTGTCCTTGGATCCTCCATCAGTGCCTTCCATTGGCCAAGCCCAGTCAGAGACCTGCAGGCATGCAACTCTGTAAGCACAGACTTCAGTGGGTGGCAGAGCAGCAAAGAGGAGGGTGAGGATGCAGCTAAGGACAAACAGGCCCAGGACTGGCACACACACTAACATTTGTTTGCACACTCACTCTGCACCAGACACTGTGTTTACATGTTTAACACAGGTTACCTAATTTAATTGCTACAAGTCTATAAAAGAGGTAGGTATTCACTATTGTTAATCCACTGTACAGGCAAGAAGCCTACTTAGAGTTGACCTGAAATAATAACTAGGAACAATTAGAGGAGGAGAGTCAGTTTTGCAGAATAATCAATAGAGAATGTAAAAATTTTCAAATGGATACCTAAGTGTATAACAATACTATGTAAAGGTCTGGAATAATCACTGAAGCCACAGCAAGAAATAGTGAAGTGGTCATCTCAGCACAATAAGAGTAGATGGGGGCAAGAGACTTTTGCTTTATATTGTATAATTTGTTATAATATTTGGATTTTTAAACAAAATTCCTAATTTCTTTTATAATAGGAATGGGAGAAAAGAAAGTTAATTGGCTGAGCCAGTCTTATATGATTCTGAAGTTCATGTATTTACATTACACTCCACAGTCTCCACCCCAGGAGTGAGCTGTGAGTAATTTATCTGCCACAACAGCAACCCACCTGTGACTCCTTAACACCCTCACTGGAAAATCAGAGCACATGGCAGGAAGCCCTGGGGAGGGGTTATTGCCGGTGACCTTAAGGGCAAAATAATGTGCTTCTCAGGGATTCAACCTACGGCGGTGGTTGGACCTCTAAGCACTCCCTCATCTACCAAAACAAGCATCTGAAAGAAACCCATTGCTACGTAACCAAACAGCCACAGTCAGGCAGTGTCAATACAGATTTTGATTATCAGTTATTTTGGGATGTTGCCAGCAAATTTTCCCATGATGGGTTTAAATAACTGAACTTTTCTTCATGTGTAAAATGTGTACAGGATAAACCATGTAATCAGATGATATGTGTGGTTTTATGGAATATCTCTAATCAGTGATAAGCCAATTGACATAAAATTATTTTGTAAACCTAAAAGGCACTCTTTGCCTCAGTGAGCACCTGCTATAATCTAAATAAAATCTCATTGTAGTAGCCATCATCAAAGTGCTTTCAACGAATCCTCCAAGAGTTCAGTTAATTACCCCAATTTTTTTCTATAAAAGGGAGGGAAATAGAGAATGGAAGGCTTTTAATCCTAATCTTTATACCATGTCAGTCTATGAATCGGAGGTTACTTAATATAAACCAGTGTGTTTCCATCAGGAAAGAAAAGGCTACACAGTCGGGCCTTCCTGGTAACAGCCACTCATGTGAGAGCCCCAGAGGGACTTTTATAGCTGCCAACACTGAGACTTATGGATTCTGTCAAGAAATTAATGCTGTCATGAAAAAATATGCTTTACGATTTTTATAGCTTGGCATCCACATCCTTTGACAGACCATCTGCCCTATCCTGGTCTCTACCTAACTCCCCCCACCACACACACACACACACACACACACACACACACACACACACACTCTCTCTCTCTCTCTCTCTCTCTCTCTCTCTCCATGAGACCAGCTGCCTCTAAAGACAAACAGAAGAGGGAAATGTGGATAACTAAGATTTCTGTCTTTTTGCATGGCAAAGTTTCTGAGGTGAATAAGATTTCTGTTATGTTAATGCAGATGAAAGGAAAAATGGATTGCTTTTACTGGAATGAAGAGAGAATCTTAGTATCAGCCTCTCCCATGGAAAACTCTCCTAGGAACATCAAAGGGAATGCCATGCCTGGTAGCAGAGTAGAATAATCTAGCTAGCCTCTCCCATCCTGTTTCTGGCATCAGGTAAGATTTCCAAATGGTTTGAATTGAAGCAGCAGACATACCCCCTAGGAACTGACTAAGAATCACGCATTCTATTTGACACAAGCTATTGCATTTTTCTTTTTTTTTTTTTTTTTTGAGATGGAGTCTTGCTCTGTCACCCAGGGCTGGAGTGCAGTGGCATGATCCCGGCTCACTGCAACCTCCGCCTCTTGGGTTCAAGCGAATCTCCTGCCTCAGCCACCCAAGTAGCTGGGATTACAGGCATGTGCCACCACAGCCAGCTAATTTTTTGCATTTTTAGTAGATACGGGGTTCCACAGTGTTAGCTAGGATGGTTCAATCTCCTGACCTCAGGTGATCCACCCGCCTCGGTCTCCCAAAGTGTTGGGATTACAGGTGTGATTCACTGTGCCTGGCTATTGCATTTTTCTAATCTAACAGAGGTTTTTGGGCAGAAAGAGGAAAACCCAAGTTAAATTGGGCACTGATGGTAAAATGGATTTTCTCAAAAGCAACTTCTCAAAGAATCAGACACGTGGAGTAACTGTAATCCTTGTTATTTTGACTGGTGGCAAGTAGGACTTGGCATGGAAGTGCAAGGTTAGTAACTTGAGTTTTATCTAATTTAGCTGATGGAGTTTTTCAGAACTTTACTAAATGCAAATAAAAACTGATGCTGTTATGAATCCCTTAGCAGTATGGAGATAAGAAATGGAAAGAAAAAAATTCTAATGCATGATCACACACACTCACACATACATTTACTGACAGTTTACAGCTCTGTAAAAATATTACCATTGCTCAGGGCCTCTTTCCCAATCTGTTTACACTCAACATTGATCACAAGTTCTTTATATTTCCTGAGGCAGACAAGAGTTTTACAAATTTATATGGTTTATTGATATCCCCAGAGTAATGAATAAAGCAGCTCTCATAATCAACTGTGCTCTAATAATGATTTTGGGGGAAAGAAACAGTGTTGCAAAAAATAGAGTCTTTTTTCTGTGTATCATCCTGGCTAGAGGGCATAATCAGAGTCTCAACAGATTGTGGAGCTTTCTCAGAGTCTATGTTCTATGTCTATGTTCTCCCTAAATAATTTTTTTTTTTTGAGACAGGGTCTCTCTCACCCAGGCTGTAATGTAGTGGTGCCATCTCGGCTCACTACAATGTCAGCCTCCCAGGCTCAAGCGATTCTTCTACCTCAGCCTCCCGAGTAGCTGGGACCATGGGCGCATGCCACCATGCCCAGCTAATTTTTGTATTTTTGGTAGAGACAGGGTTTTCCCATGTTGCCCAGGCTGGTCTCAAACTCCTGAACTCAAGTGATCCACCCACCTCCACCTCCCAAAGTGCTGGGATTACAGGCGTGAGCCACCACACCTGGCCTTATATTCTCCCTCAAGAATCTTGATTGTGTTCTTAGCCTTCCTCTCTCCTCACCCTGGTAGCTTCCTAAACTTGCTCCCTCTCCAGGAGTTTCTTGCCTTTTTCCTCCCAGATAAGAGCTTCATAGTTTAGAAAAACTTTCAGCTATCTGTGATCCGTTTCTCCTCATCCTTCATTTTTAAGCTGCCTACACCATGCACCAGTTCATGGGTTTCCCCCTCCTTGGATTTACCCTCTTTCCACTTTGGTTCTCTGTCTACCCAGTACTCTTCTCTTACTTCTACCCACCCCAAAGTACACACACTTTTTTTCTGAGAATACAAGGAAAAGACTCAGATATATGGACTTTAAGGTTTAAAAACATAATATGAAATACTGCAAGGAGAAACTATCTTATTTGACTCCCAGCATCTAGAACTACCCCTTGATTAAAATAAGCAGTCCGTGATTTTTACATGGTGACTTTATTAACTACCTGGTGCCTTATCTAGAGAAAACCATAGGAAGAAGTTGGGCCAGGATAGGCCTAGTTGGCGTCTGTTGTCCCAGCATGATTATAAATACTGTCTCTTCTTGCTTTCACAAACTCACAGTGTCCAATTTGCTGCAAGTCTGAGCAGCAAACTTGTTTGATCACCTTATCTAACTTATATTTTATATAGTTCCAAGCCAGACTAAAACTCTTTGAGGTGATGTATATTTTAATCTCTGTAATAACATTAGAAGTATAATGAAAGCATGCATGATTATAAAGTGAAAGAAGGAGAATAAAATAATTAAAAGCAACTTGACTAATCTAAAAACAAACAAGAAATGAGAAAAATAAGCAAAGAACAGGTGGGACAAATAAAAAAGAAACAGATGACAGGTATAAATAATATTACATCAGTATTCTACCAAATATGTGTAATTTAAGTACTCCAATAAAAAAGCTTGTAAGACTGGAGATTTGGGTTTTTGTTTTGTTTTGTTTTAAGACAGAGTCTCGCTGTGTTGCCCAGTGTGGAGTGCAGTAGCAAGATCTCAGCTCACTGAAACCTCCACCTCCCAGGTTCAAGTGATTCTCCTACCTCAGCCTCCTAAGTAGCTGGGATTACAGGTGCCCACCACCGCACCTGGCTAATTTTGTATTTTTAGTAGAGATGGGGTTTTACATTATTGGCCAATCTGGTCTTGAACTCCTGGCCTCAAGTGATCTGCCTGCCTTGGCCTCCCAAAGTGCTGGGATTACGGGTGTGAGTCACTGCGCCTGGCCAGATTTAGGGTTTTTTATTTTCACTTCTACTATGTGCTGCTTATAAGAGAGACACAGAAAGTTTGAAGGAAAAAAAAAACCAAACAGAAGATTTATTATGTAAACACTTATCAAAAGAAAGATCACGACTCTACCAATATTAGATAAGTACATTTTAAGGGAAGAAGTATTGTTAAGTATCAAAAAAGATGGTTTATAATGGTCAATTCTAAATAAGGATATAACAATCTGAAAATTGTAATCACCAAATAACATAGCCTATAATACATTAAGTTAAAATAACACAACTTAAAAGAAGTAGACAAATGTACATTTCTAGTTAGAGATATTAACACACTTCTCTTAGAAACTGACAGAAAATAGATAAGTCAGAAGAGACACAAAATTAAAACAATTAACATACATGCTATGATTAACATATTGTAAAAGAAAAATGAATCTTGGGACCCCAAAATCACTAGGCCAAGGGAAAGTCAAGCTGGGACCTGTGTCGGGCAAAACTGTCTCCCATTTTATTCCTAAAAAAAATAGCTAAAAGATAAAAAAAAAAAAAAAAAAAAAAAAAAAAAAAGAAAAGAAAAAGCTACATAACTCCTTCACAATTTGCCCACAAGATCTTTACCGTAAAAAAGTTCTGTTGGATTTTCCCCCGCAATGTAAAAATTGGTAGCTTATCTTCACAGGTGCGGGACAAGGGACAGAACTCAAAGTCATCCCCCTGCTCACCTGAGACAAATGCCTGTCACATTGTTTCCTCTACCCTATTGTTTATATAAAAATTTACATCATTCACTGAGATTCACTCTGATTCACTGAGCCACACTAGGGCATAAGTGATTATTTCTCTACCCCTCCCACATGTAAATTGTGTATTTAGTGAAAGGCTGGCCAAAGACCCCAAAAAATGCAGCCTTCTGTCTCTTATCTACTTACCGCCTAGAAGACCCCCACTTCAAGTTGTTCTGCCTTTGTGGACTGAACCAATGTATATCTTACACATATTGATTGATGTCTCATGTCTCCCTAAAATGTAACCCAAATATACAACCAAGCTGTACCCCAGCCACCTTCGGCATATGTTGTCAGGACCTCTTGAGGCTGTCAGGGGCACGTCCTTAATCTTGGCAAAATAAACTTTCCAAATTGATTGAGACCTGTCTCAGATACTTTTGGGCTCATAAAAGAAAAGAACACCGAACAGCTGTCAAATACACCTTCTTTTAAAATATACACAGAACATTTGCTGAAGTTAGCCATAAATGGGGCCTAAACCAAGCCTCAAAATATTCAGTATTGAAATCTCATAGATTATTTTTTCCAAGCATAGTGGAATAAGCTAGAATTCAATAACAAAAAGGTAGCCAGAACATCTTCAAATATTTGGAAACCAACAATCTTAGATATGGGTCATAGAAAAAAATCACAATGAAAATTACAAGGTATTTTTAACTAAATACTAGTGTAAGTAAGACATACCAAAACTTGTGGACTGCAGCTTAACCCATGCTTTCTGGAAAACTTGTAGTTTTAAATAAAAATATTATTAAAGAAGAAAGACTGAAAAATCAATGCACTAATAATTCAACTCCAAAAGCTAGAAAATAAACAGCAAATGTAAAACAGAGAATGTAGGATCAATAAAACAATAAAGAAAATAAATAGAAAACAAACATACAACAGAGAAAAATAGAAACGGAGTTTCATTAAAACTAATGTTGTTTCTTTTCAAAGGTATATAAAATGTATAAACCCAAACAGGACTAAACAAAAAAAAGAAAGAGAGTATAAATAATCTCAAGAATGAAAAGGAGGCCATTCCTAAGATCCCAGAGACATTAAAAAGAAATCAGAAAAGAGAACAACTCTTCTTTGCAGAAGAATTCCATATAATATATGTACATACTGCCCCTATGGACAGTGAAGCTTAATTCTCTTCTTTTTCTCTTTTTAACTTTTAGGTTCAAGGGTACAAATGAAGGTTTGTTACACAGGTAAACTTATGTCTCGAGGGTTTGTTGTAGAGATTATTTCACCACCCAGGTATTAAGCCTAGTACCCAACTGTTATCTTTTCTGCTCCTCTCCCTCCCCTGACCCTCCTGGGGTCAAGTAGACCCCAGTGTCTGTTGCTTCCTTCTTTGTGTTCATAAATTCTTATCATTTAGCTCCCATTTATAAGCAAGAATACAATCATATTTGGTTTTCTGTCCCTGCGTTAGTTTGCTAAGGATAATAGCCTCCAGCTCCATCCATGTTCTCCTTTTTTAGAAGGTAGGCAGGACTTAATGACTCAATTCCAAAGAACAAAATATAGAAAGGGAAAAAGAGTAATTCTACAGTGAAGAAGCATGGCAGACACCAAACTAATTTGTCAAAAATTACAGAAATAGCCAGCACATTAACTCAAATATGTTACTTAGCAAAGCCAAGACCCCCCAGATCATGCCTACGTTACTACAAGAAATAAATGTATTTTTCACATTATTAATTTGCCTCCTACAGAATATTTTCTTTGCTATAATATCTCCTAGTCTTTGATCTTCTTTTTCTTCTGTTCCTTATAAAACTGTACAACTGAAACATAAACAGTACCTACAAAATTATTGAGGTAGGTTGCAAAAGGTGGCCCTAAATGCTTCCCATCCCTGTAAGCACAGTTCTTTACAGTGTGATTTCTGTAGTTTCTCCCACCAAGGGTTGGACTCTATTTCTCTTCCACCTGAATGTAGGCTTGGCCCTTATCCTGACTTGGCCAGTGAGACAATAGCAAATATAAGCAGAGACTTGGAACCTTGAAATCATCATGTGAAAGGTCTAAATTAGCCTGCTGAAAGAGGAGAGGCCTTATGCAGCAGTGATAGGCTGCCTCAACTGAGGCCTCCTCTTGGGATCAACCAGTCTCTGAATGCCATATGTGTGGGCGAGGCCACTGGACACTATCAAGCCCCAGTTGAACCAGTCTTGACTACAAATCTATAACAAATGCTTATTATTTTAAGCCACTAAGTTTTGGAATGGACTGTTAGACAACAAAAGGTAACTGATACAATCATATTTTCTGCTTTTTATCTCCTTTGAGATAGTCATTACAAAAAAAAATTCTATCAATCAGATTCCCACTATTATGGTTTCTTTACTACACATCTGTGAGTATAGCCATATTCCAGAGTTTAGGCCCAATCCTGACCCCAAATGTTGACATAAGTCCTAGAGCAATTATGCACATGCCCAGCATTGAGTTAGTCTTGTCACAGGTCTTCTCCAGATTTGGGGGCCTCTGCTTCTCGAAGCCCCTGGTTCATTGCCTCGGAGTCAGTCCTTGATTGAAGTAATTTCATTAAATGTCCTAAATACATCCCTATGCCAAGAACTATGCTTGAGGGTAAAGACACAAAGAATAAGACACAACTCTGCTCTTGAGAAGGTATTGAGATGGTGTTGAGATGGAGCAGGGACCCCTCTTAGAGGCTTGCCAGGGCAAGGAGGCAAGCAAGGAAATAAAGGAAAAACTTGAGTTCCTTCAAGGAAATTCCAGGCACCTAGCCAGCTCCGAGAAGTAAATGAGCAACCTGATAAGCAAGAAAGTAATAATAGCTTAAAACAATAGCCAAGGAAGCTAGAATCACAAAATGTTTGGTTCCCTATAGAAACTAAAGATAGGTGGCCATGGTGACATGCACCTGTAGTCCCAGCTACTCAGGTGGCTGAGGTGGGAGAATTGCTTGAGTCCAGGAGATCGAGGCTACAGTGAGTCGTGATTGCATTGCACCACTGCACTCCAGCCTGAGCAACAGAGTGAGACCTTGTCTCAAAAAAAAAAAAAAAAAGAAAAAAAAAAGAAAAAGAAACTAAAGATAAAAATCTAACATCCCTGAGTTGTTTTTCAGAAACCTGGACCCCCACCAAATTGATTCACTGGCACACAGACCTCACGTGAGAGGGAACTGAAGACTGAACTCTGACTGCCTTTCTTTGTTCTAAATTTCTTCCTGAGGGGCCTGGTGGAAGTCACACCCGTAGAACAGACCTTAATATTCTTTTCTGCTGACCTCAAGATTTTAGACAAAGCTTCATTTCCTTAACCAATCACAAATCAGAGAGTCTTTGAATCCACCTATGACCTGGAATACCCCCTCTTGACTTCAAGATATCCTACCTTTTAGGCCAAACCAATGTATAATCTCCATGTATTGGTTTATGATTTTGCCTGTAACTTCTGCTTTCCTGAAATTTACTCCTGACTATAAAAACCATTGCTTGCCAGCCATCGGGGATGTCGGGACTTAAGCATTAGCTGCCTGATTCTCCTTGCTTGGCACCCTGCAAATAAATGCCCTCCTTTCTCCCACTGCAAAATCTTGGTGCTGCTTGTTTGGCTTTCCTGTGCCTGGTGAGTGAGCAGACCCCAGTTCCGTTTGGTAACAGTGTCTGGACAGACAAGTATACCAAGAGGCAAAATTGAGACAGTATTGCCTAGCAGAAGGCAATATTTAACTAATACCTCAATTCATCACTGACAGACTTTTGCCTGTTTGTCAGAGACTCTGCCTGTCATCTGGGTAAACCAGGCTGTTGTGCCTATGGACACAACCTTCTCACACTGCTGATCTGCCTGCCTCCACTAGCTGCTTGCTCTTTGAAGCTTTAAAATCACAAGCTTCCCTCTGTCCCTGCTGGGATAAAGGTCCTGGGTCTGAGCTTAGTTTGACCCCATTAACTAAGGTACTCATGCCCTCCTGCTTTCCTCCTCGAGGTATGATCTATGTTATCTGAGGCCTCCCACTGGATTTTTTTTTTTTTTTTTTTTTTGAGAGGAGTCTCACTCTGTCACCCAGGCTGGAGTGCACTGGCACGATCTCAGCTCACTGCAACCTCCACCTCCCGGGTTCAAGCAATTCTCCTGCCTCAGCCTCCTGAGTAGCTGGGACTACAGGCACATGCCACCACGCCCAGCTAATTTTTTTTGTATTTTTAGTAGAGACTAAATTGACCAGCCAATTTACCATATTGGCCAGCCTGGTCTCAAACTCCTGACGTTGTGATCCTCCTGCCTTGGCCTCTCAAAGTGCTGGGATTATAGGCATGAGCCACCGCGCCCAGCCCTCCCTCTGGATTTACATCCTAGTTTCCTCTTCGTGGTGTTGAAGCAGTGTCATTGTCTGGGGTAATAGCCACGGTTCATTGTCCCATGGCCATGAAAACTAGGACACAGACACACCAGAGTGAAGTTAAGAGCAGAAGCTTAATAGACAAAAGAAAAGCAGCCCTCTCTGCTGCAAAAAGAGGGGTCCCAGAGAAAAATGGGTTGCTAGTCCTGTGGTGAAATGCATGGGGTTTTACAGAGAGCTTGAGGAACTGGTTTCTGATTTACATAGGGGAGGAAAGATGGGTTGGACCAGGTGTGCCATTTGCATAGCACACAAGAATCTGGCCACCCCCACCCTAATCTTTTATTATGTAGACGGGCTTTCTACCTGGTGGGCACCATGTTGTCTGTTCCTTACTACACACATGCTGACAAAGAAAAAGGAAGACGAAGCCTCCATGTTGAACATGCCTGGCTTCCAGGTAGCCCTTTCACATTGGCACAGCTGCCAGCATTCACCTGTGCAAGCTTCCAGCTCGCTTATCTATTGTCTGCAGCTTGATGTATCAGTCTGCTTTTCATTAGAAAAGAAATAATTTGGGGGCTGCTTTTTATTAAAGGGAAGCTCTGCCGAGGACTCTCTTACTCTCACTCCTCTGCCTAAATAATTTCTTTTGAGCTCCTGCATCAGTGTGACCCCAGCCGATCTCAACCCAGCCCCATGTGTCTGCCTGGATATCTGACTACCTACTTTACCAACAACTCTGGTTCCCTCCCAGTCTAACTCGGAATCCCTGTGCCATCTGCCTCCTTCTCGTGCTATTTGTGGGCACAGCCTCAGACTTTCCATTGCTCCCCACTTAGGCTCTCCCTTATGTACTCCTTCTCTCACTATTTTATGCACTCTATTGCACTGCTTTCCTCTCTTTTAATGCCTTGACCTACCTCATCACTACTGTGATTACTGTAAATATCCAAATTAGAAAATATAATCCCAATATGAATTGGGGCAGAATAACCAAGTCAGTCTATATTGATCAAAATCATTTCTTAAAATGTATTTGTAAGAGAACAAATGATAATTTCAATTGATATTAGAACACCTTTCAGTTTTCTAAATAACAAGAAGATGTGAGAGGATCGTCAGCCTCCCAATGACACATTTATTTGAGGATAATTAAAAGGACAATAGAAGGCAGGGAAGAGCTGGAAACTGGTGCCATGTCACTGCCACCTTTAGCCTTAGTGGTGACAGTGGAACATGTAGTTGTTAACTCACTGCCTCAGAATCTCCTGTCCAGTCCTTTCCATTCTCTGGAAAGCCTGATTAAAACACAGGTGGAAAATGAAGCACTAATGACAAGAATATCTACTACCAGAGCAAGCAAGCAAGCAAACAACAATAAAAAAATCCAATGACTGGTGAAAGCCAGGGTTGTTGTTTAGTCAACAGACAACCTTGAGGGGACATTGGACTCCTATGCAGAACTCAGATTATTTCCCTGGGGATCCCTGAGTCCTGGAAATGCTATCATTAATCACCCTTAACCCACACAACCTCATTTTTCTCATAGTAGCATGTGTAAATAAAACGAAAACCTTCCCTGAAGGCAAACATAATGGCTCCCCATTAAAATGAGACTGCTTGGCCTAAACAAACAGTGCACTGGGTATCCATAATTCTGCATGAAATGACAATGATTTTTTGAAACAGCTGGGGTGCAGTAAGATCATTATTGGGCTGTATTTAATAATTCTAAATGTTAAATGGAGTCCAGGCTCCCCAGAAGCCAACTTAAATTGGTTAAAAAAACAAAAAGTCAGGGTTAGAAATAACTGATTTGGGCATATTATGCATAACTTCTGCTGAATAAAAATTTGCCAGTGTTTGGACATTGGCAAGGTATGTCACTACAATGAAATAGTGTAGGGAGACTGGAAGAAGTGGGAACAAGTGTTGGTGGTGTGAAAGGAAAATAAATCTTTGGGCCCCCAAATCACTAAGCTAGAGGGAAAAGTCAAGCTGGGAACTACGTAGGGCCAACCTGCCTCACATTCTATTCAAAGTCACCCCTCTGCTCACTAAGAAAAATGCATATCTGATTACCTCCTCTAGACAGGCTAATCAGAAACTCAAAAGAGTGCAACCATCTCTTATCTACCTGTGACCTGAAAGGCCCCTCTCTGCTTCCAGTCTTCCCACCTCTGCTTCCAGTTGTCCCACCTTTCCAGACGGAACCAATGTTCATCTTGCATATGTTGACTGATGTCTCATGTCTCCCTAGAATGCATAAACCCAAACTGTGCTCTGACCACTTTGGGCACACGTCATCAGGACCTCCTGAGGCTGTGTCATGGGCACATGTCCTCAACCTTGGCAAAATAAACTTACTAATTAACAGACCTGTTTCAGATTTTCACGGTTCACGGTGGGAAGATGGCAAGTTTGGTTTGTAGAGAGAACTGGATGTTAGCTGCCCTTGAGAAAGCTGATAAGAATTGACCTTGTAGGGGCCAAGGGAAAACTTCCCCTTCACTCTCTAAAGGTTCATTAAAAAATTAACTCACAAAAGGCAGATGAATTGGAGGAAAGGCACACAAATGTATTAACATGCACACAAGGGAGAATAATATAGTGATTACCCCATGCCCAAAGGGGTGCAGAAGCTTGTATACCATCTTGAAGTTACAGAAAGAATGGGGGCTCAGATCATAGCAAGACAGGTTACAATGGCAAAATAGGTTTTAAGATAAGGAGAAGAGGAGGCCTGGCTAGCAAAAAGTGGTCTCCTTATGTAAATGAAATCCCACAGGTAGCAGCCCTCAGATAAAACAGATGGTAAATGTGTCTTTCAGAGCTTTCAAGGTATCAGACTCTCAGTCAATCTTTCCTAAATCTGGACATGGGAAGGCCTGACTGCATCAATGCAGATTCTCTACAGATGCAAATCTCCCAACCAAAAGACACATTTGCAGGGCTACTGCTGTTTGCTGGCTCTCTGAACAGCCATCTCAAAAATATGTCACTATATTTTGGGGTAAAATATTTTTACTTACTTCCACCTCAATTTCAATTCCATGGCTAGTGACTGCCCACAGACACCCACTGTTTCCATGAAATCCTCTGCCCTGTCCCTTCTGTGCCCCACACATTCAGTGCTTATGCTCAATCCACCAGTTCAACAAGAAATGCTTTGGATTCCAGGAAGGGGATGAAACCAGCCTTCTGCCCATGCAGGGCACTATGCCAGGTATCATAAAGAAATTTAAAATGAATTTTAAATAATAAGCAAAACAATGTCCCTCCCACAGAACATTCAGAGTCATGTAGGAAAAAATAAGACAAGTTTTTAAATAATAGTACAATAGAAAGAGAAATCTCATTAGCAAATTATTAGTCACTAAGATGACTGTGCTCCCAGGGGGACCTGGATCTCTCTAGTCAAGTTCCAATATCTCATTGACAGAATCAGATTGGCCCTGCTGGGAACCAGTGTCCACCTTAGAGCACTCAGCCATAGCCACACAGAAGACTCCCAATATTACTGAGCCAGCCAGTGACCTCCCTGACCCTCTAGAGAAAAAGAAAGTGTTAAATCTGTATAATCCTATTGTTTCTATTTTAGCATGCCACATGAGTTAGATCTTAAAGAATTGGCAGAGTTTTGGCAGGAGGATGATATGGGCTGAGGAAAAATACAAGGAAAGGTACAGAACCAAAAAATCTTGCACCATTTTTCTGTGCAGTTCTTCTGTTTGGAGGAAGCACAGAAGTAGGAGTAGAAAATGAATAGTGAAACACAATAAAGCTGGAAAGGTAGTTTGAACCCATGTCATGATGGTTTTGGGGGTGATAAACAGAGGGCAATTATAATTCAATTGGCAAAAGGAGCTACACACTTTGCTGACTTTGGTATTTTTGTTTGAATATTATATATACTTACAAAAATCTTTTAACTTCATAGGAATAATTTTGGTTATAATTACTATGAATCAGCCAGCCTCCTCATGGGAGCAAAATTACTTTTTCTAGCTTGGCACTTCAGATCTTACTACATATATATATATATAAAATCTTTTTTTTTTTTTTTTCTAAACAGGGAAGATAGATAGTGACCAGAATAGCTTTTGTTCAAACATCAGCAGCAATAACAGCTAAAGCGATCTATCATGTTTACTGGCAACGTCAACTGTTTGCACGGAGTATAAATGTCCTTCTTTCAAATTGGCCTCATCAGGAAAAATCTTTTTGGAATTTTAAACTGCCTCTTTTTGCCAAGTATAGAAGTTCTGTCCTTTTCTCAACACAAATTATTTGTTTTCTTAGATTGCAAAGCATTCTATTATCTGAGAGGGAAAAGAAGTCCTGGGAAGGAACATAACAAAAACTCTGTCAAGCATTAGTGAGAAAAGAATTCTGATAACTGAATTCTGAGACTTCCTAGTAAAGGACAGCCATGGAAGAAAAAGAAACAGCATAGTTGAGTAGTGGTGGGGCAAGGGTTAAAATGGGAAAAGGTAAGACATTTTTTCCTAGAGCTTAAAAAATGGTCAAATTCTTAAGTATCTAATTTTCTCTTTTATTACCTCTTTACTAAATTCAATGACAAAAGAAATTGATGATCTATTATAGCCATATCATGACTCAAAACGCATAGATTTCCCTGACATTAGAAGCTTCCGCGTTAAAGATGGAATATTTTAGGGGAAAAAATGTTGATTCTTGCACTCTATTTCAGAAACTTCCAGTACAAGTAATGAAGCTGTTTTCAACATTTCCAATGTCTCTGAGAGCCTCAGAATTCAAAAATCTAGAGGGCTTTTCTTTCTTTTTAGTTGTTTTTGGGGTGTTTTATTTTTGCAGATATTTTTGCATTAACATAATTAAAAATCAAACCATCTTTATTGATTTCCACTGACATTTTAAAAATCATGTTCCCTGGGACAAATCTTTAGAATTCTTTATAATTTTCTCATTTCCAATGCAAGCAATCTGAATTGAGCTTATTAACTATTAAAAATTGAAAAATGTTACTCATGAGTCTTTTTTAAAAAAGAAGAAAATATATATAATGGCAACTAAAGTCTTTGAAAATAATGTACTGTACTCTGTTCTCCCTGGAACATATATAATTTCTTTGAAGTTAGATTCTTAAAGAAACTAACATAGACTGAAAAGAACCCCTAAGGTTTAAATTAATGTTCTTCCACTTGTATCTAAATGCTTACCAGGGAGCCACCTGAACAAAAGAAATGTCTTTTTAAACTGAAATTTTGAGAACAGGAGTCATTAATGGTTACTATTTTCATTAATGGTTCTTACCATTAAGTTTGCATTTTTAAGATGGTAAGTAGCCTTTAAGACTAAATAATGCAAACTAAACTGAGCAATTATTTAGATCCACAAGTGATTAAGCTAAACCAACAACTGGGGCTTTTTATTGATCAGCTGATTGTTTTAGTCAGATTAATGGGAATATTTGGCATGATGCAGCCATCCTCTTACCTCAAGCCTTCCAATCTAGACACTACAGATTTGTAAATGCCTTCTCACATTCTGTGTGAGAGCACTGAGATACAATGTTGAAGTTCCTTCTTCCTTTTTTCTTATACCCTAGCTACAAAATGTAGCAAGGACCTCCCAAAAGAGAAAGTGCTAAATTAGCAGGTCCAACTTAGGGACTTCAAGGAAGTATCACATCCTAACTACGGTTAGTTTCTTATGAATGTGTTCTCAAGCTGTAATTCCTTTGAGAGCAGGGACCATAACTTACTCATTTCTGTTTATCACCTAATGCAGTGCAAGTATTCAAAGCCTGTTGATGGAACTGAATGAACAAACGAATGAATGGATGAACAAATACACAAATAAATTAATTATTTCCTTTCCCCTGACATCAGTGAATTGCCTTAAGCGTTCAAAGGGGAAAAAATACGAAAGACTAGAAAGGCTGGGAAGTCATCATGTATTTAAAACTAATTATGTACTTGTCCACATGTATTATTACCTCCCAAATATTGTATTAAGAAATGGAGATTTAGAGAGGGTGTAGCTAGTACATGGTGCAGTTGGGTTTTAAAGCTAATTCTGACCACAAAGGAACTACTGGGAGTCTGAGGTGGGAGCTTCGCTTAAGCCCGGGAGTTCAAGACCAGCCTGCGCAACACAGAGAGACCCTATCTCTTTAAATAAATTTTTTTTCATTTTATTTTAATTTTTTGAGACAGGGCCTTCCTGTGCTGCCTAGGCTGGTCTTGACCTCCTGGGCCCAAGCAATCCTCCTGCCTCGGCCTCCCAAAGTTCTGGGATTACAGGTGTGAGCCACTCTGCCTGGCCAAAATTATTTTTTAAATTAGCCAGGCATAATGGCGCATACCTGTAGTCCCAGCTACTTGGAAGGCTCGGGTGGGAAGACCCCTGAGCCCAGGAGTTTGAGGCTGCAGTGAGCTACGATCACACCACTACTCTCCAGCCTGGTTGACAGAGCAAGACCCCATCTCTACACACACACATACATACACACACATACATACACACACACAAAATAAAATAAAATAAGAGAGAGAGAGAGAAATCAAATTCTTTCATTCAAGCCCCTGATCTTTCCACTATCTCAACACTTCTTACTCTATCCTCTGCTTTACAATGTGTAAAAGGGATCAAGGAGAGAACAGGAAATCAGAGTTTCTCTTTCTTCCACCTAAGAAAGGCTTTTCTCTTAACCTCATCTTAAAATGTTGCATTTTGAAGGATATGAAATTAAAACATCTTTAGGGAAATCAGTAATCATGGAGGAGACAAAGGCTGGATTTGCTGTGTATTAAGGATAGGAAGAAGAAAGGCCACAATATTCTGTAAGTACTCAGCTCTTTATAGTCCTCCATCACCCCTACTGTGGTTCAAAAGTAAAGCACCACTGCCTCAATTCAGCAAATTACTCATCAGAGGCCATACTTAAATATTTGTTCAAAGAAAGATATTTGCTTTTCATCTGGGTCTGGGTCACTGAATACATTCTATAGCATGAAAGTTCCATCCTCTTTAGGACCAGTAACTCTTTGTCCTAAGGAATATTCCTGATGGGGCATATACTCCAAGTGACAAAACTCCTTCTTATCTCAGCTAAGATCCTATAAGTAAAAGAAAGTCTTAAACAACAATCTTAGCATGGGTCTCACAGATATCTACTGATAAACGCTGAGACTTCAGAAAGTCCAAGAAGCCCCTGAAATTGTAGGCAACAATTGCTATGTATGTCCATTTGTGCATTTGCAGGGCAAGAACCTCTATACCTATCAGAGGTTCTTTTATATAGAACCTCTATAGCGATAGATCCTAAAGAGATTCAAAATAAAAAAGATGAGAGATTCTTGCAAAAGAAAGTAAGTAACCCTTGTAGCTTTAAATTCCTACCATAACATATTTCTCTGGTGATAACATTTGCATTCTAATTCATGCTTTATGATTTTATTAAGTGTATTTTTGCTATAAACACCCAAAGGTGAGAAGGTAAATAAATTAATATGTGTTTAAGTATAAATAGAAACAGCAATGGTATCATACACAGCAGACAAGAAGCCTGACAGTGGGCACTGCCAAGAGGACACAACTCAGCTCAGAAGTCCTCTCCAGAAGAGGGCCTCGTGCAGAGGACAAGGAGAAATAGCAGTTTCCTAAAGGATGTTCAAGGCTATGCAAGGCATGCTCCCAGGAACTGCTGTAAATGTGTGAAGGCCATTGCCATCGTAGGGGCCAATGAAAAACTTCCTCTTTACCCTCAGAAGTTTTGTGGGGAAATCAATCCACAAAAGGCAGAATAATGGGAGAAAAGACACACAAATGTATTTAATCATAGTTTTATGTGAAATGGGAGCCTTCAGAATGAAGACCCAGTGATACAACGGAAACTGTTCATTTTTGTGCTTAGGTTCAACAAAGTATGGACAGCTGTGTTGAAATATGCTTGGACAAAAAGGATATAATATATAAATTTCAAAAGGTATAATATGTAAATTTAAAAGGGGGTATAATATATAAATTGTAAAATGTAGAGCGGATATAAATGCTTCAGCATTATTATTATTAGCAATAGAATGAGTGGAGAACCCAGCCAGTCCTGTCTGTCTCTGTTCTTCTTGGCCTCTGTGCAATCCTTCCTTCTGGGTATGGGGCAGGATCCTCTCTGGAGTGGAGAGGGAGGTCTGATGACCTACAGTCAAACAAGGTAGGTCACACAGTTTCCTTATGGCCATTTTTTTTTTTAACACAGAAAGGCAGGAGGAAAGTTGGAGTAGTATTTTTTCGGTTTTATGGCTGATTTTGGGTAAAAGGGGTTCTGGTTTCTCTGACCTACCTGGGGGAAAGATTCTAGTTTCTATGGCTGGCCCCAGGGCAGCAGAAGGGAGCAGAGACAGAAGGGTAGGAGAAATTCAAAGAGAAACTTTTGTTTCTGAGGCTGCTGCTGAGGCATTCATTTTGCGGTATCCTTTTCTGAGCCCTAAGACTATGAAGAAGCAGTTGTCAGCACAAACACAAGAAAGGGAATAACATGCATATGGAGACGTGTAGCACCACAGGAACACAGGGCTAAGAGATCCAAACACTCCTGTTGTCAAAAGGCAGCCTGGGAAAAGGTGTAGAGCATTTCAGTTTCACACATCGCCACCTTCCTAAAGTGCATCTTGGTCAAACATCGACTACTTGCACTCAGCAAAGCTCCTGGGATTCATCAGTACCTGTCGTCACTCTTCTCACATGGATTAGTATGTTATGTGATTCCTATATACAAACTGGCATTATAAACCCTGACTACACACAAGGAACCAATATGGCGCATTACATCAACAGCATAGCCTGAAAGATTCTCTGGATAGACACTGTCGAGTCCCATCTAATGGCTTTAACAGAGGCATTAACTTGTTTTGTGTCATACAGCTGTGTTAAAGATTCCCTAAATAGATAGTAACTTGGCAAGAATATATTAGTAGCTGCTCACCATGCCAATCATCTGAAGCTAATGTCATAAGAGGGTGCATGTAAAAACCAGAGGGCAAAGTAGATTTGCTCTGTTAAGATTCAGCTAAGCCCAGTTTTTTAAACGCTTTGATATTTTGAAGTGAGTGGTTCCACTGCACAACCTTCCCAGATTCTAACACTAAAGTAAGCAAAAGTGAAAGATTAGTGATTTGAGCCAGTTGTACACAGACCTGATACTCCGAACTCATAAATCCTGTGTGAGCCATTAAATTCATTGGTATTACAAGGGGAGAATGAGGCAAAGTTCAAGATTTGACTCCACATGTGCCACTAAGTTTTACCTAAGTTTATGACTAAAGATAAAATGCCCAACCATGGAAAGCTCTGGGTTTCCCCTGGAAAGACTGTACAGCCTTTCTGCTGATGACCATGAGGGGATTGGATAGGAAAGGATCAACCTCACACCATCCACAACCAAGGTCAGCGGTTGAGTGAGCCCACATATTAAACACTTCACAACTGACTAGATTCCAAACCAGTACTAGAACTTAGTTCTTCTTTTCATTACGCCTTGTTGCATCTCTATTGAAGACAGAGAAGTAGCGCCATCTGGACAATTGAGGCTTCTTTTTGTATTCCCCACAGAATGTCACACAGTGCTAAGAACTTAGACCTAGCTTACTGAGTTAGAGTAATATGTAAATATCTGTAGTTTTAATAATAATATTTTTCTCATTAAAATAGAAAAATAGAAAAAATACATATGCATCGTACAGGCACACACACATACGTTTCTTTGCCTATATATTTATTTTCCACAAAACATTATCACATTATATTCACTGTTTTGTTACGTGCATTCTCCCCCTTAGCAATAAGTTATAAAAGCCAGCTGATTTAGGAAATATAACTTTTTTAAAAGCCTAATGATATGTTGCATGGCATGATCCGAAGCACGTATCTTCCAGGGGAGTTCTTCTTGACCTTTGGAGAGCTAAAATCTGTAGCGCTGCCAAAGGTTTGAGACTTTGGACGAAACAACATGCCTACATTGCCTCTTCTTCCTAATGCCCTGTCCAAATCCCTACCTTTGTGGCTGGAAGCTATGATACTCTTTTGCTGCCAACTAGTGGTAAATTTCAACTTCTGACCGACGTTTCTCCCGCCTAGCACAATGATTCAATGTTCTTCTAACACCATGAAGCCTGGAAGGGACCTTGTGAGTTCTTACAGAGCAGCATTTTCAGGTTGCAAGCCACAACCCTTTAGTATATTGTGAAATCAGTTTCATTTTTTAAATGAACCTATTACAAGAGAAAGGAATATAAAAAATACCAAGTATATCCCATGAAGTGAATGAAGGTGTTAGATCATGAAACTCTACTTTCAGTTATTTGTGCATGTGTCCCCTTCAGTCACAAGGTAACATGGACACAAATTTAAAAAATTGAAAGCTACTGAAGTAGGGAGAGAAGCCATTAGAACAGCAGGATTCCAAAGTTTGCCTAGAATCCTTCTGTACTTTAAAAAAAAAGTTTAATGCATAAACTCATTACGCCTATAATTCCTCTAACAGCTTCAGGGCTTGAAGTGGCTGGCTTCCATACTTGTTAAAAGAAGCAAACCTTTGACAGATTCTTTACTGCCTGCTGCCTGGGTTCTTACAGGAAAAATGAAAAATGTGCAGCCTGACTTATTTTAATCATAAACCTAGGCATGTTTCTGGAATAATGAATCTCCTGATTAAAGACTGCAAAGTTCAAAGACTCGTTTTGGCTGCAGGAAATAAAATGATTTGGAATTAAAGGTGAAGGAATTGAAGCAGGTGAAATGTGAATGGCTTAAACTGCAGCTCTAGTACAATCTTTTGCCTTCTAAGAAATCTCAATGAGAAGAGATTATCAGAAGAGACAATTTGCACTGGAACCATTATTCAGGCCTGGCAAAGCATCCATAATTTTAGGACACAATAAAAAGTTTCTGCTTTGACTTTCAAAAGTTGACAACTTTAATAAACGAGACATAATGATGTCCAGAACCAACTATATAAAAATATAGTACTGGCCGGGCGCAGTGGCTCACGCCTGTAATCCCAGCACTTTGGGAGGCCGAGGCAGGCGGATGACGAGGTCAGGAGATCGAGACCATCTTGGCTAACACGGTGAAACCCCGTCTCTACTAAAAATACAAAAAATTAGCCAGACGTGGTGGCGGGCGCCTGTAGTCCCAGCTACTCAAGAGGCTGAGGCAGGAGAATGGCATGAACCTGGGAGGCAGAGCTGGCAGTGAGCCGAGATCGCACCACTGCACTCCAGTCTGGGCGACAGAATGAGACTCCGGCTCAAAAAAAAAAAAAAAAAAAAAAAAATATATATATATATATATATATATATATATATATAAATTCCACTAACTCATTAACATAAGCCACAAATAAAAAATGTGGTTATCAATTGGAAGGGCTTGAAATGATAGGCTTAAGGGTTTACTTTGGGAATTATTTTGAGAGTTCTAAGTCCATGTCCTTTAAAATGGTCTATTATTATGTATATCATTATGTATCTGTTTGACTCAAGATCTACATCCTTCACAAAGCCTTCCCTGACTTTCCTTTCTTTTAACAGAAAAGATTTACATTGTGAATGATGTATTTATAAATAACATATCTTTTCAACTGCAATAAGACACTAAAATGTATACTACATCAGGCTACTCACTAATGTATGATAATTTTTTAAACCTGGATCCTTACAGGTAAGGACAGCATTTCACGTATCATATTCTCCCAGACAATATGGTATGATACCGAGCACAAACATTAGACTGTGGATCTAATAATAGAAGCGTACAACTTCTTATCAATCAAGAAAGTATGCAAGAACTGCTAACTCGTGCCCCTACGCCTAACAACGTGGCTTTCTCAACTTTTAAAGGATTAGTCATCCGTTGGCCTTAGGAACCAAAAACATTAGTGCAACTCCAAATAAAAGTAACAAATATGTATATTTCCACTACTATAATAACCCCAATCCCCTTAAGCCTACCAATCATTATCACCTTAATTAATCCCTGCAAAAAAGGTTCATACCCAAATTACGTAAAAATATCTATCGCAGCCGCCTTCATCATTAGCCTCATCCCCACAGCAATGTTTATATGTATAGACCAAGTCATTACCTCAAACTGACATTGAATAACTATTCAAATTATTAAACTCTCACTAAGCTTCAAACGAGACCACTTTTCCACCATATTTATCCCAGTAGCACTATTCGTTACCTGATCTATTGTAGAATCCTCAATATGATACATAAACTCAGACCCTAACATTAATCAATTTTTTAAATATTTACTTATTTTCCTCATCACAATATTAATTCTGGTTACCGCCAACAACCTCTTTCAACGCTTTGTGGGATAAGAAGGCATAGGAATCATGTCTTTCTTACTAACTGGCTGATGGTACAGCCGAGCAGATGCTAATACAGCAGCCCTCCAGACAGTTCTGTATAACTGCATCAGAGATACTGGCTTTATTTTAGCTATAGCATGATTTCCCTTAACCTCCAACACATGAAAAGCTTCAACAAGCGTTTATTCTAAATCCCACCCATGACCCCTTCAATTAATTAGCCTTCTCTTAGCAGCCACAGGAAAGTCAGCTCAATTCAGCCTCCATCTCCGACTCCCATCCGCCATAGAAGGCCCAGCCCCAGTCTCAGCCCTGCTCCACTCCAGCACTGTAGTTGTAGCAGGTGTTTTCCTACTCGTCTGTTTCTACCCTTTAATAGAAAATAACCTATTAATCCAAACCTTCACGTTATTGTCTAGGGGCTACTACTACCTTATTTACAGCAATCTGCGCTCTAATGCAAAATGATATTTAAAAAATCATAGCATTCTCCACCTCAAGCCAGTTGGGCCTTATGATAGCCACAATTGGCATTAATCAGCTGCACCTAGCATTCTTTCACATCTGCACCCACGCCTTTTTTAAAGCTATATTATTTGTATGTTCAGGGCCCATCATCCATAACCTCAATGAAGAATAAGACATCTGAAAAACAGGAGGGCTATTCAAGACTCTACCTTTTACTTCTTCCTCCTTTATTATTGGTAGCCTTGCACTTACTGGTATGCCTTTCCTCACAGGCTTTTACTCTAAAGACCTTATTATTGAAACCGTAAACACCTCATATACCAACGCCTGAGCACTTTCTATTACTCTTATTGCCACCTCCTTAACAGCTGTCTATAGTATCTGTATTCTTCACTCTAATAGGACAGCCTCGCTTCATAACTCTATTATTAACGAAAATAATCCATTCCTAATTAACCCAACTAAGTGCCTAAAAATCGGTAGCATCTTCGCTGGATTCCTCATCACCAACAGTATTATTCCTGTTTCATCTCCCCAAACAACCATACCACTTCACCTAAAGTTCACAGCCCTAGCTGTGACCACCCTAGGCCTCTTCCTAGCAATAGAGCTTAATCTCATAACTAATAATCTTAAACTAAGGTTCCCATTACAGACATTCAACTTCTCTAATATACTAGGATTTTATTCACTCACAATTCACCGTTCAATCCCCCACTCAAGCCTATTCACAAACCAAAATCTGGCTTTACTTCTACTAGACCTAATTTGACTAGAAAAGTCCATAGCAAAAGCCAAAGTCCATTTCACAAACCCAAGTTTCAACTTCCATTACCATATCTACTCAAAAAGGCCCAATTAAACTCTACTTTCTCTCCTTTTTTATTCCATCCCTCTAACCCTATTGTTAATAGTCTAATCTATTATCCCGAGAAATTTCAATTACGACATAAATGCTAACAAATAATGATCAACCAGCAACTACCACTAATCAACATCCATAACTCTACAAGGCAGCCACACCCACAGGATCCTCATGCAACAACCCCTACCCCTACCCCTCAAAAATTAATCAACTCCCTGAGCTATTACAATTAATTGTGATCACAACCCCATCGTATTCAGCTATTCACCAAACCAACATCAACTCCATTAATAATCCTAATCATAAATCCCCTGAAATGTCAATACTTGATCCCCATGTTTCCGGGTATTCCTCAATAGCTATTACCGCAGTATAACCAAAAACAACCATTATACCACCCAAATAAATCAAAAAGACTATTAATCCCATGAAAGCCCCACAAAAATTCAACACAATACCACAACCCACAGCACCACTAATAATTAAACTCAAGCCTCCATAAATAGGAGGTTTTGAAGAAAAACCTACAAACCCTATAACTAAGAGAATACTCAATAAAAATAAAGCATATGCTATTATTCCTACAAGGATTATAACCATGACTAATGATATGAAAAACCATCGTTTTCAATTATAAAAACACCAATGACCAATACCCGCAAAACACACCCACTAATTAAAATTATTAACTACGCATTTATTGATCTTCCTACATCATCTAACATCTCTACAAAATGAAATTTTGGCTCACTTATTGGTGCCTGCCTTATTCTCCAGATCATCACAGAGTTATTCCTGGCCATACACTCTACATCAGTTACCCTAGCCACTTTCTCGTCAGTTGCTCATATCAGCTGAGATGTAAATTATGGCTGAATGGTCTGCTATTTTCATGCTAACGGCGCCTCAATATTTTTCATCTGCTTTTTCTTACACATTGGCTGAGGCCTATACTACGGGTCATTCCTATTTTTAGAAACCTGAAATATTGGCATTATACTCCTTCTTACCACTATAGCAACAGCATTCATAGGCTACATACTCCCATGAGGCTAAATATCATTCTGAGGTGCTACAGTAATTACAAATCTATTATCAGCCATCCCAAATATTGGAACCGACCTTGTACAATGAATCTCAGGTGGATTCTCAGTTGACAAAGCCACCTTCACACGATTTTTCCCCTTTCATTTCATCTTACCCTTCATCATTACAGCTCTAGCAACTGTTCACCTTTTATTTTTACATGAAACAGAATCTAACAACCCTTTAGGGATTTCATCAGACCCCAGCAAAATCACTTTTCATCCCCTACTACACAACCAAAGACATTCTAGGTTTAATTTTTCTCCTCCTCCTCCTAACAACTCTAGTACTATTTTCACCTGATCTCCTGAGTGACCTAGATAATTACACTTTAGCCAACCCCCTTAATACCCCACCCCACATTAAGCCAGAATGATATTTTTTGTTTGCATACGCAATCTTACGATCCATCCCTAACAAATTAGGAGGCGTATTAGAACTCATATCTTCCATTCTCATTCTAGCAGTTATTCCCATACTTCACACATCTAAACAACAAAGGGTAATATTTCAGCCATTCAGTCACTGCCTATTCTGAATCCTAGTGGCTGACTTACTCACACTCACATGAATCGGAGGACAGCCAGTCGAATACCGTTTTATTACGATTGGGCAGGCAGCATCTATTATATACTTCTCTCCCATTCTCACACTTACACCACTCACTACTTAAATTAAAATTCCCCTGTAGTATAATACAATACTCTGGACTTGTATACCAGAAATGGAGAACCCCCCTCCCCAGGACAACACAGGGAAAAACCATTCCCGCTTCACTGTCAACATCCAAAGCTGAAATTCTAATTAAGCCACTCCCTGAACTTTACTTAGCACATACTTTAACTACTGTGTCAGTATTAATCAGTTAGCACTAATACATTAGTGTTCTTATGTACTTCGTGCATTACTGCTAGTCCCCATGAATAATATATAGTACTATAATTACTTACTTGTACATAGTACATTCATAAATTAACGTACATTGCAAACCTAGTCCACATGCATATAAGCATGTAATAGAAATTACCTAATTAACTATCGCACATTACAACCATTGACCGTACAATACAAACTTACCCCTCACAAATATTGACCCATACTAAAAATCCCTAACATTACATACTGCGTACGTTCGTTCATTGGACATAGTGCATTTCATTCAAGAAATCCCTCGTCAACATGGATATCCCCTACCAAATTTTGGTCTCTTAATCTACCAACCTCCGTGAAATCAGTATCCTGCTCGGGAGTGCTACCCGCCTCGCTCCAGGCCCATAAAACTTGGGGGTGACTATACTGAAACTATACCTGGCATCTGGTTCTTAACTCAGGGCCATAAACCTAAGATCGCCCACATATGCCCCTTAAATAAGACATCTTGATGGACTAGTGATTATCACCCTATTAACCAGTCACGGGAGCATAGCCACGCATTTGGTATTTTTAACTTTGGGGGATGCTATCACTCACCATCGCGGAAGGCCTGGTCCCCTCTGAATCCTCTGTAGACGTACTCCGATTTGATTCCTACTTAAATCAATTGTAGAAGCTGAGCTTATATTGAATATTCCGAACCCACATAACAACCATACGGTGTTAATTAATTCATGCTTGAAGGACATAATAATTAATCAACAAGCAGGTAGGTTCACACACGTTCCCTCAAGCAGGTTCCCTCAAGCAGGTTCCTTCAAGCAGGTTCTCTCACGCACTTACGCTTACGCACCTACGCTCACCTACGCTCACGCACCTACGCTCACGCACCTACGCTCACGCACCTACGCTCACGCACCTACGCTTACTTTCAGGAACTTCTTCCAATTAAATCTGCAAGCCCCCCTCCCCCCATCTCTAACTTTGCTATTAACCTAGACAAATATACTCTTGCCAAACCCCAAAAACAAGAGACTAAAACGCAACCCGTCAGAGCCCAAAAATTTTATTTTAACTATAAATACCCCAACAGCTATCCCTCGATTTATGTAAATTTTCCTAAAAATCTTAAACCCCTTCTACTAAACTAAACCCCAATTTATATAGTAAATATAGTAACTAAATTTCCACCCTAATACTAATATAACGCCTTGAACATACCCCTCTGAAAGCACTACCCAATATATTATATCCTAAATCAATTATATTCTTATTAGGAATAACTATCTTAATCAAACCTTTGCCAATTCAATTTTAAAGCCCTGAATTCTCAGAACTATAAACAACCATTTACATTTACTTCTTCCTTTCTCATATTTTAAACCTACATTGAAATATATATATATATATATATATATATATATATATATATATATACACACAGTTAAAGTAGCTTAATTATTTTAAAGCAAGACACTGAAAATGTCTGGATGCGTCTGCATAACCCCATAAACAAATAGGTTTGGTCCTGGCCTATCTTTAACTCTCAGTGAGATTACACATGCAAGCATCCCCGCCCCAGTGAAAATGCCCTCTAGATCATCCAGATCAAAAGGAGCAAGTATCAAGCACGCACAAATGCAGCTCAAAACGCTTTACTCAACCACACCCCCACGGGAAACAGCAGTGATAAATTGTTAGCAATAAACGAAAGTTTAAGCTATACTGATATTTAGTGTTGGTCAATTTCATGCTAGCCACCGCGGCCATGTGATTAGCCCAAGCTAATAGAACTTGGTGTAAAGAGTGTTTAAGGTTTGCCCTCAATAAAGCTAAACTCCATCTACGTTGTGAAAAATTCCAGCTGAAATAAAATATACTACGAAAGTGGCTTTAATATCCTCAAGACGCAATAGCTAAGACCCTAACTGGGATTAGATAACCCACTGTGCTTAGCCCTAAGCTCTAATAGTTAAACTAACAAAACCATTCGCCAGAATACTGCAAGCAACAGCTTAAAATTCAAAGGACTTGGAGGTACTTTATACCCCTCTAGAGCAGCCTGTTCTATAATCGATAAACCCCGATATACCTCACCACCTCTTGCCCCCAGCCTATATACTGCCATCTTCAGTAAACCCTAAAAAGGTAATAAAGTAAGCACAAGTACACACATAAAAACGTTAGGTCAAGGCGTAGCCCATGAGGTGGCAAGAAATGGGCTACATTTTCTATACCCAGAAAATATTACTACAACCCTTATGAAATCTAAGGGCTCAAGGAGAATTTAGCAGGAAACCAAGAGTAGAGTGCTTGGTTGAATAAGGCCATGAAGCATGCACACACCGCCCGTCACCCTCCTCAAATGTTCTAAAAATTATTATAGCTAAAACTCTCTACATACATTCAGAGGAAATAAGTCATAGTAACATGGTAAGCGTACTGGAAAGTGCGCTTGGACAAACATACTTGGACAAAGTGTAGCTTAACCTAAAGCATCCGGCTTAAACCTGGAAGATTTCATCACGACCTGATCACATGGAGCCGATTCTAGCCCCAAACCTCGCTAAAAATATTATTAAATCATCTCAATCAAACCATTTACCTTAGACGAAAGTGTAGGCGATAGAAATTTATGCCTTGATGCAGTAGATACACTACCATAAGGGAAAGATGAAAGAACTAAATTAAGCACTAAAAAGCAAAGATAAAGTCTTTTACCTTCTGCATAATGTACTAGCTAGAAATAACTTGACACAGAGAACCATAGCCAAGTCTCCCGAAACCAGACGAGCTACTCAAGAACAGCTGAAAGAGCACACCCACCTGTGTGGCAAAATAGTGGGAAAATTCATGAGTAGTGGTGACAAGCCTACGGAGCCTTGTGATAGCTGGTTGTCCAAGATAGAATCTTAGTTCAACTTTAAACTTACCCACAGAATTACTTAAGCTCCCTGTAAGTCTGTTAGTCTAAAGAGGGACAGCTCTTTAGACCCTAGGGAATAACTTTTCTGTAGAAAGTAAAAAATATTACCCCCATAGTTGACCCACAAACAGCCACCAATTAAGAAAGCGTTCAACCTCAACATCTAATTATCTTAAATTCTAATCACTTTACTGAACTCCTAACAACACCTTGGACTAATCTGTTATTTAATAGAAGCAATAATGTTCACATAAGTAACGTGAAAATATTCTCCATTGCATAAGCTTATATCAGACTGGAATAACCCACTGACAACTAACAGCCTAATATTAATAAGCAATATAACAAGCACCTTATTATTTATTCTGTTAATCCAACACAGGCATGCTCTAAGGAAAGATTACAAAAAGTAAAAGGAACTCTGCAAATCTTACTCGGCCTGTTTACCAAAAATATCTCCTCTAGCATTTCCAGTATTAGAGGTACTGCCTGCCCACTGACATATGTTCAACGGCCACGGTATCCTGACTGTGCAAAGGTAGCATAATCACTTGTTCCCTAAATAGGGACTTTTACGAATGGCCACACGAGGGTTCAGCTGTCTTTTACTTGTAATCAGTGAAATTGACCTATCCGTGAAGAGGTGGGTATAAACAAATAAGAAAAGAAGACCCTATGGAGCTTTAACTCATTAATGCAAATAAAACTTCAAAAAGCCTACAGGCCTTAGCATACTGTCTGTGCATTAAAATTTTGGTTGGGGTGACCTCGGAGTATAATTCAACCTCCAAACAGCCTAGACTAAGACCGCACTAGTGTAAGCGAGCTGACACACATTGATTCGATAATTTGATCAACAGAAGAAGTTACCCTAGGGGTAACAGCACAATCCTTTTCTAGAGTCCATATAGACAATAGGGTTTACAACCTCAATGTTGGATCAGGCCATCCTAATGGCGTAGCTACTATTAAGGGTTCATTTGTTCAATGATTAAAGTCCTACGTGATCTGAGTTCAGACCAGAGTAATCCAGGTCAGTTTCTATCTATTTAACATTTCTCCTAGTACAGAAGGACAAGAGAAATAGGGCCCACTTCATAAAGTGCCCTCGCCCCATAGATGATATTATCTCAATCTAACAAATCATCACACACCCTACCCAAGAACAGGGTTTGTTAAGATGGCAGAGCCCAGCAATTGCATAAAACTTAAAACTTTACAATCAGAGGTTCAACTCCTCTTCTTAACAATATGCCTATAATTAACCTTCTCCTACTTATTATTCCCACCCTAATCGCTATAGCATTCCTTACACTCATTGAACGAAAAATCTTAGGCTATATACAATACGCAAAGGACCTAACACGGTAGGCCCCTATGGAAAGCTCCAACCATTCGCTGACGCAATAAAACTTTTCACCAAAGAACCCCTACAATTCTCAACATCTACTATTCCCGTTTATATTATTGCCCCAACCCTGGCTCTTTCTATCGCTCTCCTCTTGTGGACCCCCCTCCCTATACCGGATCCCCTAATTAATTTTAATGTAAGCCTCCTATTTATATTAGCCACATCAAGCCTAGCCGTCTACTCCATTCTATCATCAGGATGAGCATCCAATTCAAACTATGCCCTGATCGGCATATTACGAGCCGTGGCCCAGACAATCTCACATGAAGTCACCCTAGCCATCATCCTGCTATCAGTCCTACTAATAAGTGGCTCATTCAACTTATATGCACTCATCACAATGCAAGAATTCCTATGACTGCTCCTACCATCATGGCCCCTAGCCATGATATGATTTATTTGCGTGCTAGCAGAAACTAACCAAGTCCCTTTTGACCTAACAGAAGGAGAGTCAGAATTAGTCTCAGGTTTCAACATTGAATATGCTGCAGGTTCATTTGCCCTTTTCTTTATAGCAGAATACATGAATATTATCGTGATAAATGCCCTAACTACTACTATTTTCCTAGGATCACTGCACACTATATATTCACCAGAACTCTATACCATAAATTTCATTACCAAAACCCTCATTTTAACTGCCCTCTTTTTATGAATTTGAATAGCATACCCCTGATTCCACTACGACCAACTCATATAACTTCTATGAAAAAATTCCATACCACTTACACCAGCATTCTGCATATGATATACTTCAATACGTATTCTAATTTCCAGAATTCCACCTCAAACATACGAAATATGTCTGACAAAACAATTACTTGGTAGAGTAAACAACAGAGGTTAAAATCCTCTTAGTTCCAGAACTATAGGAATTGAACCTACCCCTGAGAATCCAAATCTCTTCGTGCTACCTATTACACCAAGTCCTAAAGTAAGGTCAGCTAAATAAGCTATCAGGCCCATACCCCAAAACTGTTGGTTATATCCTTCCCGTACTAATTAACCCATTAGCCCAACTTATTACTTTCCTCACTATTTTCATAGGAACTCTTAACACAATGCTAGGCTCACACTGATTTCTTATCTGAACAGGACTAGAAATAAAGATACTAGCTCTTACCCCAATCTTGATTTAAAAAATTAATCCCTGCTCTACAGAAGCAGCCACCAAATATTTTCTTACACAAGCAACCACATCTATAATTCTCATAATAGGTATCCTTACTAATAACCTGTCCTCCAGACAATGAACAATAATAAATACTATTAATCAATTTTCATCCTTAATAATAATAATGGTTCTAGTAATAAAACTAGGAATAGCCACCTTTCACTTCTGAGTCCCAGAGGTAACCCAAGGAACCTCTCTAATATCTGGCATACTTCTTCTCACACGACAAAAACTAGCCCCCATCTCTCTTATGTTTCACATTTTCCCATTAATAAATATGGATATTCTCCTACCTTCCACAATTCTATCCATTATAGTGGGCAGTTGAGGAGGACTTAATCAAACACAACTCTGTAAAATCCTAGCCTACTCCTCGAGTACTCACATAGGCTGAATGATAGCAGTACTAACTTATAACCCAGACATTACCATTCTAAATCTGATTGTTTATCTTATTTTAACAATTACCACATTTCTAGTACTTAACCTGAGTAAATGCACTACAACCCTATCACTATCTGGCACTTGAAATAAATTAACATGATTAACACCTATAATTCCACTAATTCTATTATCCCTAGGTGGCTTACCTCCATTAACACGATTCCTGCCTAAATGAATTATCATTCAAGAATTTACAAAAAACAATAGTCTTATTACCCCGAACGTTATAGCTATTATAATGCTACTCAACCTGTACTTTTATATACGCCTAATTTGTTCCGTCTCAATGACAATATTCCCCACATCTAATAATATGAAAATAAAATGACAATTCGAAAATACAAAAACCATACTACTCCTCCTTCTGCTTATCATTTCTATTTTCTTCTTACCAGTCTCTCCAGTAGTGTTATTTATTTAGAAATTTAGGTTAAAAAAGACCAAGGACCTTCAAAGCCCTTAGTAAGTACATTTTACTTAATTTCTGTAATAAACCTAAGGACTGCGAGACTCTATTCTGCATCAATTGAATGCAAATCAACCACTTTAATTAAGCTAAGCCCTTGCTAGATCGGTGGGATTCAAACCCATGAAAACTTAGTTAACAGCTAAATACCCTAATCAACTGGCTTCAATCTACTTCTCCCGCCACTGGGGGGAAAAGGCAGGAGAAGCCCTGCAGGATTGAAGCTGCTCCTTTGAATTTGCAATTCAACATGAAAAATCACCTCAGGGCTGGTAAAAAGAGGTCTTGACCTCTGTCTTTAGATTTATAGTCTAATGCTTACTCAGTCATTTTACCCTTTTTCCACTAATGTTCATCAACCATTGATTGTTTTCAACTAATCACAAAGATATCGGAACACTGTATCTGCTATTTGGTGCATGAGCGGGGCTAGTAGGCACTGCCTTAAGCCTCCTAATTCAAGCTGAAATAGGCCAACCAGGAACTCTATTAGGAGACGATCAGATCTATAATGTTATTGTTACCACCCATGCATTCGTCATAATCTTCTTTATGGTGATACCAATTACAACTGGGGGTTTCGGCAACTGACTAGTCCCTCTAATGATTAGTGCCCCCGATATGGCGTTTCCCCTGATAAATAATATGATCAAATAGTAAATGGAAAATGAGAAGGAAATTAGCATTTATAACCATGTGTTAGACCCTTAACATATATCATTTGATGTCCACAGCAATCCTGAAATTATTCCTGACAATTATTCCAGGAATTAAATTATTCCTGACAATTATTCCTATTTTACAAATGAAGAAACTGAGCTCGGTAATAATTCACAGAGTCCAGTAGGTCTCCAGAACCTCGAGACCTTTGTACTATATCAAGGATGATGGCAAATATGTGTCATCCCTGAAAGACAATCACTGTGCTCTTTCCTACTGAGGCAAGATACAACCTCAGAATCCTTCTCAACCCAGTGGTTTGGGCAGCTTCAACCAATTAATCGTAGTAGCTTCAGGAGTAGAAAACAAATTGCAATTCCTATTATTCAGTCTAAAGTCTCCAAGAGAACTTCCAGCTCAGATATTCTATATTTCCTACCCACACTCTTTAAAGAGTTACATTATAATAAATTATAAAAGGCAAAGTCCAAGTTAGAAAATGAAGCTTCAAGCTGTCACTTTGTCAAAAAGTACAACTCCCAGTCAGGGCCGTCTGTGCCTCCAGCCTCCAGCCTCTCTCTCTCATTACTTTTCCCCTACCATTTCTGGGCCCCTTTGCATCATTGTCTGTTATCCAGCATTATCCTAGGGCTGCTCTGTCCAATATGGTAGTGCTAACCACATGTGGCTATTGAGCACCTGAAATGCGGCCAACTCCACGTCAGGGATGCTGTAAGTATAAAATACGCTGTGGAGTTTTTTTTTATTATTATTAGATGGAGTTTCACTCTTGTTGCCCAGGCTGGAATGCAATGGCGCGATCTCGGCTCACGGCAACCTCTGCTTCCCGGGTTCAAGCGATTCTCCTGCCTCAGCCTCCCGAGTAGCTGGGATTACAGGCATGCACCACCACGCCCAGCTAATTTTGTATTTTTAATAGAGACAGGGTTTCTCCACGTTGGTGAGGCTGGTCTCAAACTCCTGGCCTCAGGTGATCCACCCGCCTCGGCCTCCCAAAGTGCTGGGATTACAAGCATGAGCCAACACACCTGGTCTACACTGTGGGTTTTGAAGCTGTTGTATGAAAAAGATGTAGACTATCTCATTAATAATTTTCTATGTTGACACATGTTGAAGTTGTATTTTGGATGTTGAGTTGAATAAAATATATTGATAAAATTAATTTCACCTGTTTCTTTTTACTTTTTTTGTAATGTGGCTACTAGAAAATTTAAGCACATACATGGCATCTATTTGTGACTTGCATTCTATTTTTATTGGACAGTGCCATCTTAAAGGCTTCCGTTTGCTATCTTTGATTCTTCTGTCATCCCAATTCTGTCTGGCTACCTATTCCATTTTCAAGGCTGGCTGACCCTGCATCTTCCTTAGTTGCTGGCTCTTGGCTGCAGCTTTGAGATGGCAATAGAGCAGCCATTCCTTCTTCTATCGGTCCACCATAGCTTCCTTTTGCAACAACTCTCTGCTGCCCCTGTTGCTGCCAAGCAACCTCTGAACTCTCTCAGCCCAATTTTAGCTCTTCCAGCCAAACCCCATCGAACTCCAGCAATCTTAATTTGTTAGGGATCCTTTCAGAAATACATAGCAAGAGATTGAATTTAGACTAGGGAAGTGAGAAAACAATCAAGGCTATCCCTCCTTGGACTTGGAGTACACCTTCTTTTGCAGGGCATTCAACTAGGTCAAGCAATCACATCTGCAGTTAATTGATAGAGTATCCGAAATAGATGGTCCATTCTGATAATAGCTTACCAATGATCACAGCCTGGGGAATGATCGCAGAAGTGGAATGACTGAGACCATGTCTGGAAACAGCCAGAGCAAGTCAGAGGCTATTAAAGGTCCAAATATGAGATTCTGAACAGGAACTGACTCTTTAGGAATGAGGGAAATGCAGAGAGACTCCACAGGAAGGTTCAGTTACCTAAAAAGGAAAAGGAGCGAACCAAATACGTGTCTCATTGATCAAAGATCGCCACCGCCAGGGGGCAGTAGAAAAACAAATGTCGAAAGATCTGAGTTCATATCTCAGTTCCACCACCTTAGGGCATACCCGCGATCCTGTCATTTAACTTTTGCATCTGAAGACTAAAGACAGTAATGCTCATCTAACCCTGAGAGTGTCAGTTACATAAAGCATATGAAGGGTTGGGGTCACAGGAAGAGGGAGGTGATAATAGGGGTAGCTGTCTCTCCCCGAGTTTCCCAAATTGGGAAAAATGTGTATCTACAGGGAATGTGATATTGGCCACAAAGGCACATAAAAGCAGCTCTGTATATTGTGAACATAAGTCACAGTTTCGTTCCTTCAAAACAGCATCAGAATTCAATTTTTTTCAGCATTAATGAATATTTTACAAAAGGAATGAAGTGATCCCAACAGCACTTTGAGAACACTGCATTCGGTTGTGTTACTCCCATGACCACACCTACTCTCCAAAAGTTTAGGCACATGCATGAATTCACAGATGCAGAAGTTCTCACGAATCTTTTGCGTCACTTGCATTCTTGCTCCTCTTTCATCATGACAAACTTGCTCCTACCCCAGGGCCTCCGTGCCTGCTCTTCCCCCTGCCTGAGACCATCTTCACCTGTCTCCCTCCCTCACTTGTGTTCTGCTCATTATGATCACCTCTTTTGCTGCACCCATCAGGAGACCTTATTAGGTTACACTTAACGTGTCATCTCATAAGACAACTGTGCACCACGCAGGACTCCAATTCACTAAAAAGGACAGGAACAAAATTGAGCCTGCTAAAACCATAGTCTCAAGGGTCCCTCTACAGCATTGGGCATCCTTGCAGCAACTCATGTGCTATCGTCCACAATGGGGCAGGAAGAGATCCATGTCACACACTGCAGGAATTGTCCTGGCTTAAATGCCTTCTGCCCCACAAGAACTAATAACTCTTGCAATAAATCTACAGGCATTTTTTATAGACTCTCCACAACCAGCATGCTGATTACAAGACTCATGGACTCAAAGAAGCCTAAAGCATAGCACCTCCATATAAATAAATAAACTTAGAGTTTATTTGCGGTGCCTCTGGTTCAGATGCAATTTGCTAATGTGACATCATTTTTATCATAAGCAAGCTTGCTTAATAATATAGTTGGCATGCTTACCCTTATCGGACTACCAGAGAAACAGATCTAGACAGCTGGACTGAATCTCAGGTTCTCATGCAGGGCGAGTTTTATTAACCCACAACATCTAAAATCACCATATGTTCTGTGACTCTAGAATTTTCAATCCTCATATCCAATTCACAGCATACATCACTGTTTACCGATGTGTTTGTTACCTGGCTCCCCAACCATCAGTATCATTACAGCAGAGAAGTTATCTGATATATTCCCTGGTGTACTCAGAGTCTAGAAGAATGTCTGACACAGAGTAGACACTCAATAAATATGTGTTAAATGAATGACATCCAATATCTATGGTTTTGCACAAACACAAGAAACCCAGGCTATTCATGGTGGTTTAACTGGCAAGTAATATGCAGACATGCAAGTAGGCAGGCAGCCTATCACTATGTCCAGAGTCATGCCCTCGGGAGCTGGTCCCAAGAGCACATGGGCTCAGAGGAAAGAGTCCTATTCATAAGAGGTCTAGGGTGTCAATTGGGGATTTTGTTATGGAGCAGCCAGTAGTGACCTAGTTTAGGACTTTAAAAAGTAACTCAAAAACAAGAGCAACAAACAGAGAACAACTTAAGGCAGAAATCTAGCTAATGGGACAAGAGAATACCAATGTCTGAGTGGGCTCATCATCAAGACAGTTTCACTGTGTGCTATTTGACTTCTATAAGAGGCCTCAGCACAAGAGTTGATCAAATTACCATGCTTTCCAGCAGCATTTCCCAAAGCTTCTGGGAGATATTCATAGACAGTACTTCAGAGAAGGTTTTTGCTTGGCAAATCTCTAGCTAAACACCTTTTTTATTAAAAGACTTCTGAGAATTAACTTTGTGAATCCCAAAGAGAGAACACAAAACATAGCATTTCCCAAACTTTTTTAGACATCCTTCCTTCACTGATCGTATCACTCTGTGAAGTACTTTTGTACTTTGGAAAAATTTACATAAATTTGTTTTATACTATTTGGCAGAGAATCATATATTACATGTACTATGACCTAAACTGCCCAAATGAGTAAAGAGGAACTAAGCTGAAAGCAAAATTAATACATCCCATGTGATTTGAGGTATAGAATTTAACTATAATATGCAACATTTTTAACTTAAAATGTTATTTTTAAATACCTAAAAATATATGTAGTTAACTATATACATATATACATATACCTATATATATATAGGTATATGTATATAGTCAACAATTAAAAAAAAACTGTCCCTGAATAACCAACACTTCCCCTTATCCAGTTCTTATCCTCTGCACAGGAATGAGCTCCTTTATGTATTCTAGTCTTCCAAGAACTGAATATTCACGAATCTATAGCACTTTCACAACTTGAATAATTTCAAACCATTAATAGCTAGCTTAATACCTACCTCTGATAATAGGCAATCTAAGAAAACAGCAATTTTATGTTTAATCAGGTAACCAATGGAACATTCTTTGCCTCAAATGAACCAAAAACAAAACGAGAAGAAAAACACATTTGGAAATAAATCTGCCAGCCCACTTTATAATGTAGACTTGCACCAGTTGTTTGATGAGCATTTTGATAATTAAAGGCTGCTCTGTCCTATATGTCCACGGTCTGTAAGGTGGCCGTCCCCTCCCCTGTCATTCTTTGGGTCCCAACTAAACACCCTGAGGGAAAAAACTGGGCATTTGCTTTGACTCTTTCTGAAACATGGGGAATTTGCAAAATCTTTCTAAAGCAGAATAATGTGTTACCATGCAAAAAGTAGTATGCAAAGAAGTCTAAATCATCCCAAAATAAAACTCTCCTATTATTGTGACACTTGGATGGCCCCATCCAACAGCAAAATCAGGCCAAACACTATTTTTTAAAAAGCAAAGAGAAATAACCGTTAATCACTTTTGAGATTTGCTAAGGTAATAGCAAGTCAAGAAATCTCACAATTTTGTCTAAATATGTAAACAAGGGTTATGTCCTTCATTAATATTCATCTCTGTGAAAAACTGACATGTTTACACTTCTTGTAGTTCTTTACACTTCATGACTAGCAATTTATTATACATGAAAGAATTTTAAATGTGCACTTCTAGTAGAATAATCATCAATTTTTTACAATGAATGACCAAGGAAACATCTTAATTCTAGCTCTCATCTTAATATTGGTTGGTGCAAAAGCAATTGAGGTTTTTGCCATTACTTGGGCAAAAACCTTGATTACTGTTGTACCAACCCTATACATTTCACTGCCTGGCTTCTGGCTACAGAACATTACATATCCAACATAACGTATGAATATTACTCCTTCCCTATCTTTTACCCCTAGGAAAATGAGGAAGTAAGGATGGGGCAAGGAGAGAGGGGTGCTTCAAAGCCTGATATGTACTGCAGCTTTTGGTAGTCAGCTAACATTTGAAGCACATTATGAATCATAAAACATTTTGAATCCCGTCTGTCTCAAAGTTTTTAGACATTCTTTCATTGATTGATTTACAGAAAGCAGAGAACAAAGTTGAAGTCATTCTAAAAACTAAGCTGCTTTGCTTCCCTGTTTCTATGTTGATGTTTCACTCCTAAATTTGTAAAAGTAAAGCCTTCCATGCCCAGAGGCAGCATCTTTAATGCCTAAGAGAACACAGATGTACATACATGGTGATATGGGTTGGCTGTGTCCTCACCCAAATCTCATCTTGAATTATAATTCCCATAATCCCCATAGGTCATGGGAGGCACCCAGGATAAGGTGGTTGAATCATGGAAGCAATTGCCCCCATGCTGCTGTTCTCATGATGGTGAGTAAGTTCTCACAAAATCTTATGGTTTTATAAGGGGTTTCCCCTTTGGCTCAGCTCCTGCTAGGAACAGTCCCCCCAAATCTGGCCATAAACAGGCCATGAGAAACTAGCCATAAACAAAATCTCTGCAGCACGGTGACATGCTCATGATGGCTATGACGCCCACACTGGAGGTTGTTGGTTTACCAGAATGAGGCCAAGGAACACCTGGCCCACCCAGGGCAGAAAACCGCTCAAGGCGTTCCTAAACCACAAACAATAGCATGAGCGATCTGTGCCTTAAGGACATCTTCCTGCTATGGATAACAAGCCAGAGTCTGTCCCTTTGTTTCCCGTAAGGAATGCTTTTAGCTAATCTATAATCCATAGAAATAATGCTTATCACTGGCTTGCTGTCAATAAATATGTGGGTCAAACTCTGTTCGTGGCTCTCAGCTCTGAAGGCTGTGGGCCCACGATTCCGACTCTGCACTCTATTTCTGTGTCTTTGTCTTAATTCCTCTAGTGCCGCTGGGTTAGGGTCTCTATGACCGAGCTGGTCTCGGCACTCATTCTTCTCCTTTCTGCCACCATGTGAAGGACATGTTTGCTTCCCCTTCTACCATAGTCATAACTTTCCTGAGGCCTCCCCAGCCCGGCAGAACTGTGAGTGAATTAAACCTCTTTTCTTTATAAATTACCCAGTCATGTGTAGTTCTTTATAAGCAGCATGAGAACAGACTAATACACATGGCAACCCAGAGGAGAAACATGAAACACTTGGAATTTGTTTGCTGCCAAATCAATGAAGAGCACTGCATTTTCCTTGAGAAATCCTCCGTGGTTCAGTTGTTGCCTGATTACCCTGCTTTTGGTGTGGGCTCTCTCTTTTCCAATTTGGTAATTCCCCACAACCAAAATATCAGGTTATTACATCAAAACCTACCCATATTTAGTAGTGTATCATGTCAAAGTAGATAGGAAGTACTGGCATGTTGGCACCTTTCCAAGGCTTTGGTAGTCAGCTAGACACAGTATGCAAAGAGGACAAGTGAGTCCTGGGTGCACTTGTGACCTGTCCTTGTGACTTGGAAAAAATGGCATCATGTTCTGTCCGATGTGTTTCCGCTAGGGTTCTTTGTGACCCCTGCCAGGTGCTCAGACCATGGTAATACTAAAGAATGTTCATATTCTATGTGTTCTTTGTAAAGATCATTTGGTGGCAAGTTAAGCGAAACCAATTTGAGGCACCTTGAGCAATAAAGGTTTTATTATGAGAAAAGTGGGAAATTCCATGGAACCACAAAGGATGGATTTTGCTGAGCCTCAGGAAGGGGCAAGAATCAGAAATAGCAAAATTTTCCAGAGGTTTGTTTTTTTTTAACCAATGTTTGTCTGTCTTTTGCTTCCAGCCCCCAGGGTAGGATACAGCCACTCTTTAAAGAAACTGATATGATGGATGTCAGTCTGAATTCCAAATTTCTGAGAAAGAATCTCAGTGGACCAGTCTTGGTCAGGTGTCCACCCTGGGCCCATTAACTGTGTTCAGGGAAATCAGGTCAGGAGAAACAGAAACAGCCATGAAAAGCCTGGCCTGTGGGTCAGCCAGCCAAGTAAAAGGATGAGCTAGCTGATTAATGAGTTTCTTGCAATGTGTAGGTGTACAAGCATGGAGAAGATGACCACTGGTGGCCTGGTCTCCTGCAATGCTTACATTGTCTGGTTCTATAATTATACTAGACATTTCCATATGAATATGTTGCATCATCTGAAATCCAACATGTCTAGACCAAATCCAACATGTCTAAACCAAATGGCATCTTTATACAATCTGCTGCCTTTCCCACTAATGAGACCAACATCTCTGAGTCACACCTACTTAAGTTCTTGTTAAGTTTCTTGTTCAGCGGTTCAAATTCTTCATGCTGCTACTGATGCCATACTGCTCTAGGCACATCTCACTATATAAGATCTGGATTAAAACCCTTAGGATAAATCGCTTTTTGCCGCCTACTTCTAGTTTAAGTAGACAAGCATCAGGAGGTGTTTTGCAGCCCTCATTGACTTTGGTCTCGTTAAAGGATTCCTTGTGATTTGGGGGTATCAAAAGTAAAAATGCTTGAGGATCACTTGAGGCCAGGAGTTTGAGACCAGCTTTGGTAACATAGCAAGACCCCCATCTCTATTTTCTTCCTGAAAGAATCTGTAGTATCAGTCTATAGTGTCATAAGATGCCAAAAATATATAAGAGTCACAGTAGCTGAGGAAGTATCTGAATGGGGAGGGGAAGGAGAAGAATACTGTAATGTGAAAAAGAGACCTAATACATACAAACTTCAGGAAAATCATCTCTTAACCTGAGCATAAGCACTCACAAGTACCTCCTCCCAGGATGCATCTGAGCAGCCTAAGCTTAATCATGCTTTCTAAGTTGCATGAGCACAACTAGGAATCTGCCTTCTCTCCCATGCTTTGAAATGTCAAGGAGGCCATGTTGACAAAATAGAAGCTGTGGCTGGAACAACCTGTCACTTCTCCAACTAATGCTAATGAATAGTTTTTTTATCTACCATTTCTTCACCTTCTGTCACTTAACATTTTCTTAGTTGGGGTCAAGTCTGGTTTCTTAACATAGAAAAACTCCAAGTAAAAGAGGCCCAAACAAGGTAAACATTTATTTTTTCCCCCATAAAAAATAATCCTGATTAGGCATCCAGAACCGCTGTGGCAGCCCTGTGAAGTGATCAGGAGCTGTGTCCTCCCTTCCTTTCTAAGCTGCCATCCTCACACATTTTGCTATCTTTGGGGCACTTTGTGGTCCAGGAGAGCAGGCAGATCTCCAGCTATCATATAGCCCCTTCCAAGCCAGGAGGAAGGCAATGAAAACAGACAGCATCCTTTTCTGGCAGTCCATACATATTTCTTACATCTCACTGGACAGAATTCAGCCACGTGCCACATGCAATTGCAAGGAGTGTGAAAAACATGATGTTTTAGAGCTGGCTGGAACTGTGCCCAGCAGAAAATTAGGTTTCCGTTCCTATGAAGGAAGGGGATGATGGATGGAGGGGTACACAATTAGCTATCACCACCATACCAGCCTTTCCCAGACATTTTCTCTTCTCATCTGGACTTACACCATAGACTGATAACTGTGCCCGCTCGGCTGCCATTCTAATCTATCATGCACACAAGTTAATCACCCTAAACCACTCTTCCACTTCTAGAGGACAAGATAAGATCAGGCAATTCAGACCCACACTTCCTCATCTCCTAAATTCACTTCTTTCCCGAGAAGTAATCTCCAAAAACTACCCTCTGCAAAACCTTCCAAAGGCTCATTTCTCCAAGGACTTTAACCTTCTAGCCACAAGATGCACCTCCAGGTTTTTCACCTCCCATCAACCCAGGGCTCCAGCTTTGTCCTTCACTGAACATCCTCTGGATGCAATGAGGCCTTTCCTACCTCCGAAATCTTTTGTTCTTTACTGTCCACCTGCAATTCTCCGTTTCTCCCTTTCTCTCTCTCTCTTTCTGTCCACCCCTCTTAACCTGTCCTCTCTCATGCACATATTCTCCTTTTTCATTGTTTGTATCCTACGGAAACCAAATAAAGTCCCATCTTCTCAGTAATGCACAGCCTAGAATTCATTTCCACAGATCGACGTGATTTAGCTGAATTGTAGTCTTTTTTATCTCTGATGTTTATTTAATACTCATTATTAATGTACTCAGTCTTATCTCTTTTCTAACACTGTCACTTGTCATGTTGGGCCTGTTGTTTAGCCTTTCTTTTCCTCGGGGTTATTAGGAAGTTTTATTGATGTACTGCAATCTACCAGGATGCATTTCCCATTCCTACATCCCTTCAGAATGTTTCTCCTGCTCCCATCCAGGGCAGGGACCCCATCTTGTTCACACGCACCACAGCTCCCAGGGCAATGCCTGCCACATATAGTAAATATCCAGTGAACAAATCTGGCTTGAGACTTACTTTGTATAACCTTAAACTTTATTGAAGAGGTTATTCTATTCTCCAACCAATGCTGTGAGCCATGAAAAGCTGGTGTCACCCTTCACTGATACTAGGGAGTGGCCAAACTTTTATTGTTTAACTTCTAACCCCACCATATTTCAGTATCTCTCATGCCAAAGCAGAAAGTAAAGTTTCACATGGAGCACGTAATCTGCATAGGTGGAAAATCATCAAAGTGCATTCCTGTACCTTGCATTGCACGTACATCTCCACTGCAATGCTTGGTCCAGAAATTACTCTTGGGACTGGAAGAGCAGATATCATATTCTACCCCAGCAGCTATACAAGCTAATTGTATGGAAGAGAGATTTTAACACTGAGATGTGTCTAGAAATGCCGAAAGCATAAATCGAGACAAAGGGAATTCGAGGGAAGTTTCTTTTGGATGGATCTAATAGTTACACATTCATTTGGAGTGGAGTCTATCTTTCATGAATAATGCTTTCCTAATTTGTGCTTATGCAGCCACTTAGAGGGTATAAGACTGACCAGGCAATCCAAATTCATACTTTCTAAACTCACTTCACTCAGCTCCTGAAAAGCAGTATCTACAATGGATTCCCTGGCACTTTCTGTATGAGTACAGATTATTTGTCTTGACCACATTTCCTTTGGAGAAATCAGATTCTTTTAGCTTAAATTACCTAAGAACAATTGAACTTGGCATGTTTCTTCCTGAGTGGAAAAACGTTTCTCAAGTGTTCTGGAGATATGATCCCGGTTTTCAAAAAGCCCAAGATTTGCTGGGTGTCTCTTTTTTTTTTTTTAATTAACTTACATTGCAGGACTCAAAACATTTTCTGAAATCAAACACACTATAAAACTAATCTAAATATTGGCTCCTTCATGACCTCCTTTAAAAAAATACACAGTGAAGACTGGGCGCGTTGGCTCACGCCTGTAATCCCAGCACTCTGGGATGCCTAGGTGGGTGGATCATGAGGTCAGGAGATCGAGACCATCCTGGCTAACATGGTGAAACCCCATCTCTACAAAAAATTAGCCGGCTGCGGTGGCACGCGCCTGTAGTCCCAGCTACTTGGGAGGCTGAGGCAGGAGAATCATTTGAACCCCAGAAGAAGAGGTTGCAGCGAGCCAAGACTGCGTCACTGCACTCCAACTTGGGTGAGAGAGTGAGACTCCGTCTCAAAAACAAACAAACAAACCATGCTGAAGCATTCTGGTGAACTGGCTTTAGAAATGTTAATAGAGGAAGTCAAAGTTACAAACCCAATCGACTTTTCTATCAGCTAGATCAGGAACATAAAAAATACACTACTACTCATGGGTTGGGAATAAATACTATCATTCATAATAAACTAATATTTATTTAATATTTCCAATGAGCCAGATATAAGTAATACTATATGCCCATTTACAGGTTAGGAAACTAAAATATGTTAAGTGACTGGCTTGAAATTATGCAACTCATATGTGGCACAGCTGGGATTGCACCTGGCTGTCTGGCATCAGACTGTGTTCTTAACCATGCTCCTGTTCTGTAATGAATTAAGAAAGTGATTTTCCAAATGTCAACAAAGAACAGAATCCATTATCAGGTATCAAGTATCACTTCAGAAGCAATGGAACTCTCAGAAACACACTGCTCTGCCATTCCATTTTACCTATAAGAAAATAAAATAAAGAAAAGCTATAGGAAAAAATGTAATGGGAATTTGGAAGATGGGTAATGATGCTTTCCCAGTTTCTCCAAACCCATGTGAACAGTGTAACAGCAATATAACACTTTATAAATTGGTAATCTCTAGAAACCAATACTGCTGCTCTCACCAGTATAATATTAAGTCTAGAAACTGGAACCAGCACACATACAAGCTAATCAGGTTGTAGTCTAGTTCTTGGGATTAGTGAGAGTTTTTAGAAACTTGTTAGCTATATTTTTCACTGGGTTTTCTTTAACAATGTTGATGTTTCTTTATTCATCCTGTAAAGAACAATAACAAAGAAGTGGTCATCTGAGGCAATATTATTTCTTTGTAAACCTAAAGGGGAAAAAAATTGAAAGAATACACATATTATTTTTTTGGGGGGGGCAGATGGAGTCTTGCTCTGTCGCCCAGGCTGGAGTGCAGTGGCACAATCTCAGCTCACTGCAACCTCACCTCCTGTTTTCAAGCAATTCTCCTGCCTCACCTCCCGAGTAGCTGGGACTACAGGCACATGCCACCATGCCTGGCTAATTTTCTGTATTTTAGTAGAGACAGGGTTTCACCGTGTTACCCAGGCTGGTCTCGAACTCCTGAGCTCAGGCAATCCGCCAGCTTTGGCCTCCCAGAGTGCTGGGATTACAGGTGTGAGCCACTGCACCCGGCCAACACATACCATTTTTTTAAAAACTCTATGTCTATTAGATGTTTGTGAAGATACCCACACCAACATGAAATTAGATATAATTATAAACACATAATGACAAAGTATAAATGTGGGTAATGGATATTAAGAATAAAATTTGAAAGTAGAGTTTTCACTGAATTTTCATATTTAATGTATTAATATATACTAGGTGATATCACAAGTGTAGTTACTCTATTTCTCTTCTCTTCAGTCTTTTAAAAGAACAAAGACTTAACATTAAGCTAGCTGTTTTTATTAATATTAAAAATCACCCATCAAGTGTTGATCTTAACCAAAGGCTAGACACCAACAATATCATCTTCCAAAGGTTCTGTCTGTGGCAAGTGCCACATGGATTTAAAAATACAAAATTATACAATTCTCAGTTTGATGAGCCTCTGGAGATGACTGATAAAAGAAACTGTTCTAACAGCTTGAATCTCTAGATGATTTGGGAAATGTCACAGGCAATAACAGGGAACTTTGGAATGGCGTAACAAATGGATGATCTCTGTCCGATTACAGCACATATTTTTATCAATTTCAAAGGCTTTGCTGCCAGTACTCCCAGTGTGCTAATCATTCTAAATAACAGATCCAGTCGATTCACATCTTATGAGACAAAATTAAAGCTTCTTGAAAAGTTGAAAGTATTTCTGTTTGAAAAATCTTTAGTTTCTAATTTATAAGGAAGACTTGAAGAGGTCTATCTCAGATATGTATCATTCTGTAATTTAAAATACCAAATGTTAACATCTGAATAGCTGATGTGAGCATAAGAACTTTCTGGGTCAGAGCACTGAAATCAGATTTGGTTAAAATTTTGGCTTTGCCACATTAGTGGCACCGGGATGGCTTATTGCCGATGGTGATGACCTGGCCATTGGGCAGCTCTAGCTCTTCTCCAGGGAGGAGGAAGATGCGGCCGTGGCCATCTCCTTCTCGAAGTCCAGGGTGATGTAGCACAGCTTCTCCCTGATGTGGGGCATGATCTCCCGCTGGGCCGAGGTGGTGAAGCTGTAGCCACGCTCGGTGAGGATCTTCATGAGGTAGCCTGTCAGGTCCCTGCCAGCCAGGTCCAGATGCAGGACGGCATGTGGGAGGGCATAGCCCACGTAGATGGGCACCGTGTGAGTGACCCTGACCCCATCTCCAGAGTCCCTGACAATGCCACTGGTGCGCCCAGAGGCGTAGAGGGATAGCACGGGCTGGATGGCCACATACATGGCCGGGGAGTTGAAGGTCTCAAACATGATCTGAGTCATCTTCTCTCTGTTGGCCTTGGGGTTCGGGCAGGCCTCGATCAGCAGCACTGGGTGCTCCTCCAGGGCCACGCACAGCTCATTGTAGAAGGTGTGGTCCCAGATCTTCTCCATGTCGTCCCAGTTGGTGACGATGCCATGCTCAATGGGGTACTTCAGGGTCAGGATGCCGGCTTGCTCTGGGCCTTGTCGCCCACGTAGGAGTCCTTCTGGCCCATGCCCACCATCATGCTCTTGTGCCGGGGGTGCCCAATGATGGAGGGAAACACAGCTTGGGGGGCATCGTCCCCAGCAAAGCCAGCTTTGCACATGCTGGAGCCATTGTCAATGGCAAGCGTGGCGATCTCTTCTTCCATCGTGACTGGTGGAGGAGTGGGGCAGCAGAGCAGCAGGATAACACGGTGAACAGGCTGGCGGGGGCGACTGAGCTTGAACATCCTTTCAAAAGAGAAAACAATAGTCCTAGATAGTTTTCCTGGAAAATTCTACCAAATATCTTAGAAAGAAATTATACCAATACCCTGTAATCTCTTCCAGAAAATAGAAGCAGAGGGAATACTTCTGAACTCATTCTATGAAGCCAGCATTACCCTAATACCAAAAAAACCAGAGACATTACAAGAAAAAAAAAATTATGAACCAATGTCTTTCACGAACAGAGACACAAAACTCCTCAAGAAATATTAGCAAAATAAATCCAACGATGTATAAAAGCAACTATAAATCATGGCCACATAGTATTTATTCTGAGTATGTAAGGCTGGTTTGATACCAAAAATCAATTAATTCATCATATCAGCAGGCTAAGAAGAAAAATTATAATACTGATAGATGCAGAAAAAGCATTTGGCAAAATTCAAAACCAATTTATGATAAAACCTCTCAGAAAAGTAGGAGTAGAGAACTTCTTCAATTTGATAAAGAACATCACCAAAAAATATCCAGCTAACATTATACTTAATGGTGAGAAACTAGATGATTTTCCCCTAAAATTGGGAATGAGGTTAGGGTATTCTCTCTCACTATATTCTGCATTGCTCTGGAAGTTCTATCTAACAGAATAAGACAAGAAAAGGATATAAAGGGTGTACAGGTTGAGAAGGAAGAAATAAAATTCTTTGTCCTCAGATGATACCATTTCCTATGAAGAAAATCTGCAAGAATTGACAAAATTCCTGGAAATAAGCAATTATAGCAAAGTTGCAGGCCACAACGTTAACATACAGAAGTCAACTTTTTTTATACAACTGCAATGATCAATTGAAATTTAAAATGAAAAACACAAATACCATTTGCATTAACACACACAAAAAACTTAGGTACAAATCTAGAAAAATATGTATAAGGTCTATATGAGGAAAAACTAAAATATAAGCATTGTATTAATGAGATCAAATCAGATAATGTCAATGGGGAAAGCGACCTTTGAAGAACTTTACTAAACTTAGAGGGGGTCATATATTTGCTTATTTTCCTCACAATACACTCTTTAGAGTACTATTCATAGGGCAGAAGTCAATATTTTTAAGAGCATCTATCCCCTAACAATGACATTATGAATGTATCTTTAACAGTGGGTCTATGAACACTGATAAGACAGCCTCTTTTTTCTTATAGAAAATCCTAGACTTTCTTAGTGTAGAAGGTTCCTCTTAGGTAATAACGCTGTTCTCTCTGGAAAACACTCACATGCATACATTTGTTTATTCATACAGCCACAATCTCTAGCCATATAATTTGTTACAACTTGTTTGGTCCCTCTGAACTTGGCTTTCTGTATTAAATTGTGATATTAATCTTATCTATCATTGATTTATCTTGAGAAATAAGATTATTGACAAAAGCTCTTGGCTTAGTACCTTGCACATAGCAAGCATTCAGTAACCACTAGCTGTTCTCTTTGTATTTCTACCTAATCTTCAAAGTAGACTGGGGTAGAGAGGACTAAATTCTCATTCTATTTGTCTCAATCTGATGCTGCATGGAAATCTCTGGCAGGGCTGCCTTTCTGCAGCTTGACTATTATATATCTCTGATGCTTGAAAAGCCAGCAGCCAAGGTAAAGTCTAGTAAAACAAAATATTTAATTTGAAAGTAGCCTGATATTATCATAGACAAAGTACATAGATATTATCAAAATTACATCTAATTGTTTCTTGCCAGGGGAATTAGACAAGAAAAAGAAATAAAAGATATCCATATTGGAAAGGAAGAAGTAAAACTATCTCTATTTGTATGTGACATCTTGAATACAGATAATTCTAAGGACTTCACTAAAAAGAATTATTAGAACTAATAAACAAGTTTAGCAAGACAGTAGGATATAACAACAAAAGAGAAAAATGTGTTGTATTTATGAATAATAGCATTAAAGGATCCAAAAAATAAAATTAAGAAAATAATTTTGTTTACAATAATATAGAAAGAATAAAATACATTAACAAAAGAAATGCAAGACTTATACACTGAAAACTACAAAATGTCAATGAAATATTTAAAGTAGACCTAAATAATGTAAAGACCTTCTATATTCATGGATTAAAAGTCTTAATGGTGTTAAGATGGCAATATGCTCCAAATTGATCCACAGATTTAATGCAATACTTTTCGAAATTTCAGGTTGCTTTTTTGCATAAATTGACAAGCTGGTCCTAAAATTTCTGTTAAAATGCAAGGAAGCTGTGATGGTTGATACTGAGTGTCAACTTGATTGGACTGAAGGATGCAAAGTATTGTTCCTGAGTGTGTCTGTGAGGGTGTTGCCAAAGGAGATTAACAATAGAGTCAGTGGACAGGGAGAGACAGACCCACCCTCAAACTGGGGGTGGGCACCATCTAATCAGCTGCCAGCACAGACAGGATAAAAGCAGGCAGAAGAAAGTGGAAGGACTGGACTTGCTGAGTCTTCTGGACTTCATCTTTCTCCCGTGCTGGGTGCTTCCTGCCCTCGAACATCAGACTCCAAGCTCTTCAGCTTTTGGACTCTTGGATTTACACCAGTGGTTTTCCAGGGGCTCATGGGCCTTTGGCCACAGACTGAAGGCTGCACTGTTGGCTTCCCTACTTTTGAGGTTTTGGGACTTGGTTGGGCTTCCTTGCTCCTCAGCTTGCAGACGGCCTATTGTGGGACTTCACTTTGTGACTGTGTGAGTCAATACTCCTTAATAAACTCCCCTTCATATATACATCTATACTATTCCTCTAGAGAACCCCAACTAATACAGAACCTTAATAGCCAGAAAATATTGAATAAGAAAAAAAAAAGTGTGAGGAATCACATCTTTTGATCTCGAATCTTACTACAAAGATACAGTAATCAAGACCTTACTGGTACTGGCATGAAGATAGACATATAGATCTATGGATTAAAATAGAAATGCCAGAAATAAATCCTCACATTTATGGTCAATTGATTTTTGACAAGGCTGCCAAGACAATTCAGGGGGAACAAGAACAGTTGTTTAAACAAATGATACTGGAATAACTAGATATCCCCATGAAAAAGAAAAAAGTTGGACTCCTATGTCACACCATATACAAAAATTAACTAAAAAATGTGTAGACCCAAATGTAAGAGCTAAAACTATAAAAACCCTTAGAAGAAAACATGGATACATCTTCATAACTGTGGATCAGCCAATGGTATCTTAGCTCTGACACTGAAAGCACAAGTACAAGCCATAATCAAGCAACAGAAAAAGAAGGTAAACTAAATATCATCAAAAGTTTTTAAACTTTTTAGCTTCAAATACCATCACCATCAAGAAAGTGAAAAGACAACCTACAGAATGGGAGAAAATATTTGCAAAACATATACCAGAAAAGTGAATTATATGTACAATACATCCAAAGATAAAAAAAACAAACCCACACACTTACAATTCGACCTTAAAAAAGTGGCACAATTTTAAAATGGACAAAAGACTGGAATAGTCATTTCTCCAAAGAAAACATACAAATGACAAATAGCATATGAAAAGATGCTTGATATCATTGGTCATTAGGGAAAGAAAAATTAAAGCCATGAGATACCACTTCACACCCATCAGGGTAGCTACAATAAAAAAGATAGACAATAACTAATGTTGATAAGGATGTAGAGAAATTGGAACCCTCATACTTTGATGGTGGGGGTGTCAAATGGTGCAGACACTTTAGAAAAGAGTTAGACAATACTCAAAATATTAACAGAGTTATCATATGACCCAGCAATTCCCTTCTGTAGTGTCTACTTTTGAGGTAAATGACATATTTGCCTCAAATATATCAATATATCAAATATATATATTTGCTTCAAATATTTCAGGATATATCTGAAATCAAAGGAATGATTATTATTTTGGCCATTTAATGTCACAGGTCATTTTTATATACATATATAAATCATACCTGGCAAAGTCCTTCTAAATTCTACCAGACAAATTCTCATTACAGCTTTAATATTAGCACAAGCTTTAGTTCTATTTGTTGTTATTTTGCCTATTTGGTACATCATAATATTTGAGGTCATCTTATATAATTAAGGTAGAATTATACCCATGTTGTAAGATTTGGCACTGCATTTTAGCATTTTTTTTTTCAGACAGGATCTCACTCTGTTGCCCAAGGCTGGAGTGTAGTGGTGCAATCACAGCTCATTGCAGCCTCAACCTCCTGGTCTCAAGCAATCCTCCCACCTCAACCTCCCAAGTAGGTGGAACTATAGGCACAGGCCACCACGCCTGGCTAATTTTTACAATTTTTTTGTAGAGATGGGTCTCACTACATTGTCCAGGCTGGTCTTGAACTCCTGGCTCAAGCAATCCTCCTGCCTTGGCTTTCCAAAGTGCTGGGATTACAGGTGTGAGCCACTGTGCTCAGTTTATTTTAACATTTTAAATAATCATAGGCTTATGGTTGTGCTATCTTTCCTTTAACCAGCATACAGGTCTCCTTCATTGAGGTTGAATCCATGGATAGGAAAGCAGCTTTAGGGCACACATTGAAGGAGGTCTCTGTACTCTGACCCAAACTGCCCTGCTGTCCCTCCCCTCCAGTCCAGTTGGAGCTCTGTTACTAGTTAAACATTATTTGCCGTTCCCTCAATAGGCAGAATACTCTCCATTCTGAGCAGTTCCCTCTGCAGATGATGTTTTTTTCTATTCTCTCTCTCTCTCTCTCTGTCTCTATCACTCTCTCTCTCTCTGTCTCTCTGTCTCCTTTTTTGGTCTATCTTCTTCCACTATTCAAGATCTTACCATACCTGACTTAAAAAAGAAAAAAAAAATCTAACCAAAGAAGTTTCCTTATTCTCCCCATTAAAATGCATTAGTATTTTCTCTGTGCTCCAACTGAATAAAAATGGTGGATCTAACATTACAAGGTTTACTATGTGACAAGCCAGCATCTTAAACCCTACAGAAATCACTTTATTTAATCCTTCCAATACCTCACAAAATGAATATTTTTATTAATCCCAATTTCACAAAGGAAAACAAGATGCAGAAATGTTAGAAAAACACATGTCATAAGAGGTAGAGCTGAGATTTAAACCCAGGCAGACTGACCTCAGAAGCAGCCTTGGACTTGATCCCACTCACCAGAATCTTACTTGTATTAAGTTTCCTAGTTTCTGGGCTTCCTCTTCTCATTTGATTGTGAATCCTTGAGCAGGAAGCAGCATCTTATACTTCCTTATAACTAGCCAGGCCCTGGCACAATGCCTGGGGCATCATGGTACTTAATTCATATTTGTGGAATTAAATTATAATAGTGTTCCTATGGGAAACTACAACCAACTTTAGGATAATGCTTCATGATATTTGTCCAGGAATATCTTGTGGCCAAAAGGCTAGACTAAAATGAATGTGATATTCACCACTCCTTATTACCTGGAATGAGCTTCCATATTATCCACACTTGCTCTTGCTCTTCATAATTCACTTGGAAAGAGGCTATAACTCCTGTCAAATCATTAGAAGAAAGGCTAAAATAATCACTGTAATAGTTAGAATCATGATTATCACAAAGAACAGATAGTACTGTGTTTTATACATACATAATTGCATACATATAACAAACCTGTGAAGTATGTACTGTTATATCCATGTTAAAGAGGAAGAAACTGAGACTCAAAGAGGTTAACTAACCTGTCCAGTCACAGAGTTGGTTAGAGGATCCAACACCAGCTGTCTGACTGCAGAACTCAGGCACATTAATGGCTTCCCATGCTGTCTGCCATTGGAACAGGACCTGGTGCCCTGTATTAGGACAGAGGTGAACAGCTCCCAAACGAGGCCCTCTCTCTTCTTCCTGCAACATCCTCAAGGTCTGCGAAGAGGTTCCAGAGAGCCCCTCAGTCCCAGCTGTCAACTTTTTCTCTAAACAACCATGATTTATTTGTAAACACAAACTAACATTTTGATTTCTTTTAGTTTATTTTTCTTTTCTATTGCTAGCCTGGACATTTCCAAAACATTGGTGGTAGCATACTGAAAAGATCAATTCCATTTCAAAGAACTGACTCACGGTTGCTTTCTGTTGGTATTGCTCACCCAGCATGCAGTCTCCCTGCTCATCTCAAGTGGGTTAATGGACTTGGAAGTCTGCATTTTAGGCTGAAGTGTATGCTTTAAATTGAAGAAGCAGCGTGTTGTGTTGTGCCGTGTTGAGGTGTGTTGTGCTGTGCCGGGATGTGCTGGGCTGTGCTCTGCTGTCTTATCTCATCTTGTCTGATGTTACTGACATAGTAGAATGCAGATTTCATTGTGGTGTAAAATGTCTTCTGGGTTATTTCAAAGCAGCCATTGAAAATTCCCTTTCTAACACTGTCAGAATTGGAAGCTGTTGATGTCAGTAAATGTCTTAGTGCTGTTTCTAGGCATACAAAATACCTCACATCTTTTTTCTTTCTTTTTTTAATATCACATTTCTTCTTTGTTGACACACTCAAATAGGTTGGACTTGTCCTAAATTATTAAGAAAATTGGAATGTGCCAATACTTCCCAAAAAAACCTGATTAATAAGGAGCCAGGCAACCTCTCAGTGATTCTCACTTTCTGGGATCTTCCCATCAGACTCGAAACAACAGGTTTTCATTAATATAAACAGAAAGGATTTTTACAAAGGAAAATATCTCCAAGATGTTTGTAAAAAATAATTGCAAGAATGAGCTCTTAGAGGGGAGATATTCAAATGAATTAAATTTTGTGGGCGGCAAGCCACCCAGGCGCCGAGGCAAGAGACCGAGGACACGAGCTGTTCCAGTATAATAAAATATAAAACAAGAATAGTTATACCAGATATAGATCTTAGATATGATCATATATGAATATCATTAATCATTAGTTGGTAGTAATTACTCTTTATCCCAATATTATAATAATCCTCACTCTACAATCATAACCTAGGAAAAGCCAGGCCATACAGAGATAGGAGCTGAGGGGACATAGTGAGGTGTGACCAGAAGACAAGAGTGCGAGCCTTCTGTTACACCCAGACAGGGCCACCAAAAGGGCTCCTTGGTCTAGCTGTGACGCCAGTGTCTGGGAAGACGCCCATTGCCAGGTGGACCGTGGTCTAGCGGTAGCGAAAAGTGTCAAGGAACAACACCCGCTACTTAGCAGACCGGGAAAGGGAGTCTCCTTTTCCCCGGGGGAGTTTAGAGAAGACTCTGCTCCTCCATCTCTCGTGGAGGGCCTGACATCAGTCAGGCTTGCCTGCAGTTATCCGGAGGCCTAACCGTCTCCCTGTGATGCTGTGCTTCAGTGGTCACACTCCTAGTCCGCCTTCGTGTTCCATCCTGTACACCTGGCTCTGCCTTCTAGATAGCAGTAGTAAATTAGTGAAAGTACTAATAGTCTCTGATATGCAGAAATAATGGCGTAAGCTGTCTTTCTCTCTGTCTCCTCTCCCTCTCTGCCTTGGCTGGCAGGCAGGGAAGGGCCCCCTGTCCAGTGGACACATGACCCACGTGACCTTACCTATCATTGGAGATGACTCACACTCTTTACCCTGCCCCTTCTGCTTTGTATCCAATAAATAACAGCGCAGCCAGACATTCGGGGCCACTACCGGTCTCCACGCATTGGTGGTAGTGGTCCCCCGGGCCCAGCTGCCGTTTCTTTTATCTCTTTGTCTTGTGTCTTTATTTCTATACTCTCTCGTCGCGGCACACGGGGAGAGACCCATCGACCTTGTGGGGCTGGTCCCTACATCGCTGAAGTGGGAATTGGGGTGGAGGTTGAATGGATTGAACTGGGAAGGCTCCCGTCTGGCTGGACGCCAGGGGCTGAGAGTTGAGGAATGCCCCATTGTTTAAAGGGGCCTGGGGCCGGCCCCTCATCCCGTTTCCCTGATTTTTAAAAGGCTGTAAAGGATTGCCATCAATATCAAATCTGGAATGGCATTGAGATGCCCAGTGAAAGCCCTTTTGGCATCGTGGGCATACAGTAGAAGGTGGGGCGTCTTGTTGCTGAAAAGTTTTTTGTTGTTGTTGTTGGTGATGTAAAGGACTGCGACCTGCACGCCGAGGGCAATTTCTTTTTGCAAGTCCCTTCTGGCCGCATAGGAAGCATTGGCCAGAGAATTGTCCAGGCATTAGAATAGAGGCCATAGCTTGTGCCATAATCATTGCTGTATGCAGAGTTCCTCCCACCCCTTCACAGGCTTTAACGTAGGAGGTGAGTATATCACCACCAAGTGGAATTTTGCCTTTGACGGGGCGAATAGCCGCCTGACAATCTGGATTTGCTTGTTCATAAACCATAAGTTCTACAACAAGTCTTTGGCCGTGGCTATCAGGAATAGCCTTTTCTGCTGCGTCTGGAAGACGAGCAATGAAGTCTGGGTAGGGTTCGTGTTGTCCCTGTCTGACAGCTGTGAAAGATGGGCATACTTTACCATCATCTTGAATTTTGTCCCAAGCATCTAAGCAACATTTTTGCAGTTGTTCAACAACCTCATCATTTAGTATAGTTTGGTGTCGGATTGCAGCCCATTGACCCATTCCCAGTAACTGGTCAGCTGTAACGTTAACAGGAGGATTGGAGCCCTGATTAAGATGAATGCGTTCCTGGACAGCATCAACCCACCAAGTCCTGAACTGTAAATATTGGGATTTAGATAAGACTGATTTTGCTAAAATTTCCCAATCATAGGGCACCAAACGTTTATCTTCTGCTAAGCCTTTTAATGTGGAACGGACAAAAGGAGAGTTGGTGCCATATTGTTTCACTGATTCCTTAAAATCTTTGAGGAATTTAAAAGAAAAACTTTCCCAAGTAGCAGGGCGTAGCTGAACCTGACCTGGATGTATGGGGTCAGGCTGAACTACCGCCTGAACAGCGGGAATGCCAGGTATTGGCTGTGCCCCAGGAGCCGGCAATTGCGGAGGCTGATTATTTCCCTGAGCAGCCTGAGTTTCGGGCTGAGGGGCTTGATTATCAGCCTCTTGATCCTGTTGAGCTGCGGGGTCAGCCGCCTGCTGGGCAGGATCAACAACAGGCTGTGGGTGATTTTGTACTGTTGGGGTGGCAGGTACTGGAGGTTGTAAAATTACAGGAAATTGCCAGGCTTCGGGATCCCCATATTCCCTTGCCTGAACTATAGCCCTCATAAGCGGAGTGTCGTCTTCAGGGATGTATGTAATTTGTTGCTTATGAGCAGCAATGGTAGTATTGGCAACAGCAGTCGCGACTGGACCAGGAGCAGAAAAAGGGGTAGAATTTTGAATAGAAGGAGAGTTGAAAAACTGAAAGCCAGGTTGAGACCAGATTACCTGCTGAGCAGGTCTTTCATGGGCCTGAAAACCAGGCTGCCACGGCAAGTGCAGACCAGGCTTCAAGGGAGCCTGTAACTCTAGCCAAGTCTGAGTAGGAGGAAAGGATCCAGGCTTCAAAGGAGCCTGTGACTCTATCCGAGTCTGATTTGTAGGAAGTGGACCAGGCTTCCAGGGAGCCTGTGACTCTGAGTCCGATTTGCAGGAAAGGAGCCAGGCTTCCAGGTAGTCTGTGACTCTAACTGAGTCCGATTAGGAGAAATAGGATTGAGGGCCTCATTACCTGGCCGAGAATTGGAAGCCTCTTTTCTGGGCTGTTCAGATAGCGGAGCCTCTGTATCGGGCTACATAGAAACATAATTTATAGACTCGTTTTCAGGCTGCCTGATCGCGTCTGCTATTTGCACGGCGGCAGCGTTGAAAGAGTGAGGAGAGACAGGAGGGTCTGGCTGCAATGGCTGTTGATATGTTTCAACTGAGTTTTGCTGGTTGGGGAAATAAGTGTATTTAGGTCAGTTAAAAGATCATCATAAAGCGACAACGGGGGTGTGGTAGCCTCTGGCGTAGGTGGCGGTGGCGCAGGCATGTCAGAGTGGAAGTCCTCCTGTGAAATTATGTTCTCAATTTGTGCAGTATCCTCAGGTTAAAAAGAACTGAGAACTTCCTCGACCTCCTCAGAGGAGAGGAAAGAGGGATCAGTCTCCATGTTGTCCTCCTGAGTCTGTAAGGAGTCTAAGACAAAGCGAACTGAAGCCCAGATTGACCAAATGGTGGGTGGGATAAAATGTCCCCCCTTATGAGCAATTTTGAATTGTTGGCCAATCTCAACCCAACCTTTAAGTTCTAAAGTTCCCTCAGTCGGAAACCAAGGGCAAAGAAGATCTACAACCTCAAATACTTCAATTAACTTTTCAGTAGAAACTTTAACACCTCCTTCTTTAAGAAGAGTTTTTATAAAATTTAAATAAGCTGAGTACTTTGTACTGGCCTGTCCCATGGTGTCCCCAGAATACTCTGAGCGCTGTAGCTTACCACCAAGTTTATTGACCGCAATCCTCAGGAATATCTCGTTGAACTCCTCTGCTGATCCCACACTCAGGGTGCAACTTCACACAGCGAGGGAGAGCCCCACGTCAGATCGCCAGATGTAGGGACCAGCCCCACAGGGTCAGTGGATCTCTCCCTGTGTGCCGCGACTAGAGAGTGTAGAAATAAAGACACAAGACAAAGAGATAAAAGAAAAGGCAGCTGGGCCCGGGGGACCACTACCACCAATGCGTGGAGACCGGTAGTGGCCCCGAATGTCTGGCTGCACTGTTATTTATCAGATACAAAGCAAAAGGGGCAGGGTAAAGAGTGTGAGTCATCTCCAATGATAGGTAAGGTCACGTGAGTCACGTGTCCACTGGACAGGGGGCCCTTCCCTGCCTGCCAGCCGAGGCAGAGAGGGAGAGGAGACAGAGAGAAAGACAGCTTACGCCATTATTTCTGCATATCAGAGACTATTAGTACTTTCACTAATTTACTACTGCTATCTAGAAGGCAGAGCCAGGTGTACAGGATGGAACACGAAGGCGGACTAGGAGTGTGACCACTGAAGCACAGCATCACAGGGAGATGGTTAGGCCTCCGGATAACTGCAGGCAAGCCTGACTGATGTCAGGCCCTCCACGAGAGATGGAGGAGCAGAGTCTTCTCTAAACTCCCCCGGGGAAAAGGAGACTCCCTTTCCCGGTCTGCTAAGTAGCGGGTGTTGTTCCTTGACACTTTTCGCTACCGCTAGACCACAGTCTGCCTGGCAACGGGTGTCTTCCCAGACGCTGGCGTCACCGCTAGACCAAGGAGCCCTTCTGGTGGCCCTGTCTGGGCATAACAGAAGGCTCGCACTCTTGTCTTCTGGTCACACCTCACTATGTCCCCTCAGCTCCTATCTCTGTATGGCCTGGCTTTTCCTAGGTTATGATTGTAGAGTGAGGATTATTATAATATTGGGATAAAGAGTAATTACTGCCAACTAATGATTAATGATATTCATATATGATCATATCTAAGATCTATATCTGGTATAACTATTCTTGTTTTATATTTTATTATACTGGAACAGCTCGTGTCCTTGGTCTCTTGCCTCGGTGCCTGGGTGGCTTGCCGCCTGCAGAATTTGTAACTTAAAGCCTCTGACCTTTCCACTGATTTGTTTAATAATTACCCTGGTATTTTTGCTTCTTAATTAAATGGAAAAAAATTCTAAGTCTTTTCCAGTCAATATTAACTAATGTTTATATAAATTTGAAAATCATGTTTAAGCAATTAATAACAAAAATGATTCTTAAACTACGGAGTGTTTAGGAAAAAATGAGCCCATCAGGGTAACTTATCCTTTGTTGCCAGCTTCTGTTTCTTTTAGGATTTTGCACATGAGCATTGTGTACATTTTTGGCCCAGTTTCCATTTCTTTGGTAACCAGAATCCAGGTGATGGAGGATTGTGTGTTTGTTAAATAAGGTTCAAGGTCCTTAAGAAGGGCTTTCTCAAGCCTCTGAGAGTATGCCTGAGAATCTACATCATTGATAAGGAAACAAGAGCAACACCAAGGAAATTGTAGTTCTGATTTATATCTTGTGCCTTTGCATTTTCAGTGCTCTATCTTTCTTTCTATTCCAAATATTTTACAGAATGCTCTCTGCCTAAAAGCCAATGAAACAAATAAACAGGCAAATGTGGAAACAAACAGAAGCCTGGTAATGAGAAAGAGCTGCTACTCCATTTATTTTTAGACCTGTGATTTTGGGTAAGGGTTAGCTGCCTCCAGGGTTGTATCAAAGCAAGATGGTTGAAGTAGGTGATTGGGTCCACCTCACTTAAAGCCCCCTGGCTCCTACCGTGAAGGTATGGAACCACTTTCCTCCATGCCTACCTCTACTAACACCCATTGGGCCTGGATGGCAACTGATAAAGCCCTGTAAAGGCTAACTAAGCAAAGGTATTTGGGCTAAGATTTTAACAGGTTTTACATTCACATTTGGAAGTTAGCCTTTAGCACTGGAACCCAAAGAAATCAATAATGTAAGACACCAAAGATGGAATTTTTTCCCCAGCAAATTAATAATAAAAACTAAAATGTCCCTATTTCTTCAAAGCCTTTTGAAACTGTCCTCACAGAGTTAACAAGAATTCTGGACAGAAATATAGTTATAATTAAGCATTCATCAGGCTGCACTTCCTTGTAACCAGAAGTCACATAACACTAGATACCGACCATTTGTGTCCCCATTGTTCCTAAACATAAGATTTCTGATGGTATAACCATAAGGATTTTATTTAAGAATTGCTTAAGCAGATTCTGAATTCCAGCAGAACAGCTGATGCCAACCAGTTTAAAGAGCCCCAAAGAGGAATCAAATTAGGATAAGAATACAGTGTCTTCATCCTGCACTCTTGGACCAATCAGTGATCTCCACACCTCAGCCCACTCCAAAACCCTTAAAAACCCTAGCCCTAAACTACTCAGAAAGATAGATTTGAAGTTTCCTCCCATTTCCTCACTTGGTGGCCCTGCAATTAAACTTCTTTCTCTGCTGCAACCTGGTGCCTCACTATAATTACTTGCCATATATTTGGGCAAAAAACCTATTACATCTACAAAATAAAATAATTGAGGTGTTCAGTAGTAATAATACTAGTTGCAGTCCCATTTTTGCAGAGGAAGATACTAAGGCTTTTTCAGGAAAGGCATTTTCTCAAGGTGCCATGAGATTAATACATTTTCAATTCAGGCCCAACTCAATGACATCAAATTGATTCCACCCTACCACCATCACCAACAAGGTCATGCTGTGTATGCGGTGGCCGTTAGATGTCACTGTATCTGTGGCAGCCTATACTGTATAAAATGCCCATAGCTTTCAAAGGCTTGGCAGTCTTGTAGAGCCAGCTCATAATGAGACTAGGTCCCCTGATCTGAAATTGCTGGATCTCCCTCCTCATCAGCTTCCTCCTTCCATATACTGTGTTCAGACCCTCCCCAAGGTGTAACCCAGCAGGAAGAGCAATGTCTCTGTTACTTAACTGACATTCCTTAAATCCCCTACTCTGTATATTTTTCAGTTAATTTCACAAAAGATGGATTGTAAGGTTTTAAAATAATTTGTTATAAACTTCTTGTATGTAATTTATAACATTTTTTACATCACAGTATAAAATGTATTATGTCAAATAAGATAATTATTTACTGTTTCTCCAAACCAGTGGGGAAAATGGCAGAGCAAGGGTCAAAGACCTGTGGTTTCTCTGCTTCTGGCCCATCTCTACCAATGGTCCTGCACAGCCCCATCAGGGAAATTATTTGTAACTTCTTTCAGCAAGTCCACATAAAATAGCTGAAAGACAAAGAGGACATAATATTTGACATATAGGGAGGTTTGGAGACATCATTGTGAAAGCTATATCTAGGAACCCCTTTATTCCTGCTTTTCCCCTTCCCAAATTTCCTCAAAGTCTCCTGTAACTGACAAATCAAAGTTGTAGGCCCACATCAATGTAGGGATGCTAAAACTAGAACTCCCAAATTAAGATGGATTCAATGAAAGGAACAGAAATCATCCCAAGTTAATAGCATCCCAGGAGATACAATAGCAAAACCTCTCTGGAGAAGAACATCCCCAATTTAAGCTCTCATTATTCCCACAGATGAGGATCAACTAAATAAGAACTCAAAATCAAGGATCACCAAATCCACAAGGAAACAAATATGATAATGAAAACCAAGTGATAATAAATTTAGAACCCTTAGAACTACAGTTCACAAAATTATTGATTACAGAATAGAAAATGACAACCTTTTGCTTACAGACAGGAAAAAATAAAATAATTAAAATAAACTAAAATGAGAAAAAAATCAGCAAGCAACAATAGGCTATCCAAAATGACTAGGCAGATATTTTCAAAACTGAATGAAACTAATATAAATAAAAAACATAATCTTTGAAGTTAAAAACTCAGTTGAAAGTAAGTTATCCACAGCCAAAGAAGGAATTGGGAATTAGTGAGTGCGAAGACTGATCTGAAATAATTACTTAAATTGAAGATCAGAGAGGCAGGAGATACAAAATATGAAAGAGATTAAAATATATCTTAAAAAAACAAAATGTGATAACTCCTATATAATAAAGAACCTGACTGGTCTTTGTCCCCAGTTCCTGGGAGAATGTCCCTAAATATTTGCAATTTCCTGAGTGATAGGGGTATCTTTGTTATTTATGATAAGCCCTGGTAGTTTATACCAACAAGATGATTCATACTGAGTCTCTAGATAGTTTATGCTAATGGGATGACTCAGGGTAGAGGTGGCCATACCAGAAAGACCAACTATGGCTTTTAGCCATGTGATATCTACCCAACATCCAGGAAGAAGAGGAGGGATGAAGATGGATTTCAATCCCATGGCCAAGGATTCAATCAATCATTCCTATATTATGAAATTCCAATAAAAACTCTGGATACTAAAGTTCAGTTGAACTTCACTGGCTAATAGTACTCTATGCTCATTCTTTACAATTATGTGCTAGAAAAATGATGCATTCTGACTCCATGGGAAGAGGACACAGAAGTTTCACATTTAGGATTCTTATTTTATGCCTCTTCTTTTGGCTGGCTCTGACTGGTATCCTTTTTTGCTATAATAAAAGTATAATTCATAGTATAGTGTACCATGGCAAAATAAAGCACTTTCCTGAGTTCCATAATTTATTCTACTGAATTATTAAACCTGAAAGGGAAGTAGAACCTCCAAATTTGTATCGAGTTGGTCAGAAGTGCAGGAGGCTTCAAGACTGCTGAGCATGTAGCTGGTGTCTAAAGTGAGGGGAGTTCTGTGGAGGACTGTGCCTGTAACCTATGAAGTCTGGCCTAATTTAGGGTAGTTTGTGCCAGAAGTCATTACGATAACATACTTTCAGTCAGAGTCAAAGAAGGAAAAACCTGTGTGTTGGCCTGATCCATTTATGTTTTAGACAGAATGCTCTAGAAAGATACAGAGGATGCATGAGGGAGCCTGTTACATGTTATGGATGGCCACGGAGATACAAAATCAAGCTATATTAGCCCAGGTGGAAAGACTGACTGTAAAAGATATTCAATAAATTAATTGAATTCAGAAATTCAGCTCTAAGGTCAGTCAGTCCTCTGGAAAGCATGCAATATCAATGAGGGGTCTACAAATTACTTTTTGTTCTAAAAGTATCCTTAGAAATGATCCATCTAAGAGCCTCAGCCTCTGTGTGGGCTTTGGCTTCTTCCGGCTCTCTGGCTCTGCCTCACCCATGGCTTATCCTGTGTCTTCCTCCTCCTCTCTATCTCATGGCTGTTGCTTCTTTGTTGCTTCTCTTGACTCATGGATGGTTTCTGCCATTTCCCGTTTCTGTCTGAGTGTGCCTTTGTGAAGGGTTTGCATTCACATTCCAGACATGACAAGGCATGATGTACTGGTCACCACACCTGGAGGGCATCTCTATTGGGAACAGTCCTCACAGCAGGACTTCTCACAGGCTGATGGTCTCCCTGAAGCCCCACCTATAAGATACTGACTGCCCCTGTGCCCAGAACTGACCCTCTATCCAATTCATTATCCCAAACACTGCTGGTTCACATGGCATTGACAAGTATACCAAGAACCTCTTTTGGCTACTCTGCACAGAATTCAGCTAGAGGTAGAACAAGTGGAACAAATAGTTTGGATTCCTCTCAGTGACTTGTATGCATGTAACTCTTGTCTGTTCTTATAAAACATCTATTGATTATTCTAGTTTCTTAAAGGCAAAATATGTGTTCATCTTTTGTCTTCTTAACCCCCCTAGTGTAGTGACTGAAATTTAGGAGATTTAGTATATCCTCAGTAACTGCTCAATATACTCAATAAACCTTAATGACCATTTGCAGCTAAACCCATATTTTGACTTGGTCCTGCATGTTTGAAAATATATCACAGTGTAATTTATTTTTAGCATCCTTCTAAAGCCATTGTCTTATTTGATATAGACCAAATTGCAAAGACACACACTTATTCCTCCCCAGTAAAAAGAGTTTCAGTGGCTTGATTAATACAAGTTAATCTATACATATTGCTGACAGCTTCTAATAAAAGCCCCTTTTTAAAAACATGTCAAAAAGTTGGAGAAAATGTTGACTCTCGGACTCAGCAAACTAAAAATCTTTATAAAATTTTATTTTATTGGTCAAAAAGTAATTCTGTGTTGGCATGAGTTTGGACAAATTAACAAAAGATTGTTCAACCCCCAATTTAACTTCAGGGCATTTGCATTAAGACATATGGGAAATAATAGCTATAAATTTAAAAATATATAAATATTCTACATGAATGACAAATTGTTAAATGGGAAGGAAAAAAACCATTCTGATATAATTCGTGCTTCATTTAATTCAGAGTTCAAGAAAAATTAAACTTTCTGAGATACATTATTCTTATTCAATGAACATCTCAACTTTAACTTTTCCTTCAAACACTGGTATTTACATTTAATTACTTACCCTTTTAAAAGACAGGCATGGTTTTAATAAAAAACTCAAAACGAGTTATATTTTGTTCATTAACATCAATTGCTCGTATTCTTAACTTCACATATGCCACTGTAAAGTTAATTCCAATTCAATGGTTTCAGAAAAGAGTTTTTGGTGTTGACAGTAACTGCTAATCATGTTTAAACATAAAAATAAAATATTTGCAGGCATTTTTAGACTATTATAACATTACATAATGGAAATAACTTTTCAAATCTAATTTTTGAGCTTTGTCATCATAAAATTAATTAAACTTGAAGGGAATTCTAGCTTTTTTGTATTAGACATGTATATTGCTCATGAAAATATATAATTACAGGCCAAGAAAATGTTGGGAGCAATAAAACACTAATGGTGACCATGTCAGGAAGTTTTTGAAATGAAGAATGTTACATTGCCACTATTCTAATCATCCAACCATCCAACACTGCACTGTGTGTTCAACTCACCCTTTAGCTGGGTGCTCGTGTAAACACTAGCAGAATTCACTTAGAAACCAGTACTGCCCAATTTCCTTTACTCTCAGTAGATGAATGACCTCACCTCATACATCACAAGAACAGATAAATCATTAGGAGGCCTCAACTTCCCAACACCAAACCTACATACCTTTGGAGCTGAAACATGTCTGTTTCTTGCTGTTACTGTGGAAAAAATGTCCCTTTTCTTATCCTGGGTCAGTTCCTCAACTTATGTTGAGACCCATTTTCGCACACTTATGCAGAATTCTTACACTATCAAATAACTCTTCTTTTCCTGTATTTTTCTTCTCTCCCTACTTATTGACTTCACTCTATAACCAGTTACTGTTCTAGCTACCCTCCTTTAGTCAAAACTTTCAAAATCACAGTGTTTTCTTGGCTTGCCATCTTCATTTTCTCACCTCCCAAAACTCAGTCCTCTTCAAGCTGACTTACATCTTTTTCACTACCAAAACAACCCTATAGAGGTTGTCAGTGACCCCAGTGACAGTAAATCTAATGGAAATTTTTGGGTCTTTATCTTACTTAACCTAGTTTTAAGATACACAAACAGAATGTCTTCATATACATATACATAGTGAGCTGATTACTCTAATCAAACTAATGAACATATCCATCACCTCACATAGTTTTATAACTATGTGAGGTGAAAACACTTAAGATCTATTCTCTTAGCAAACCTCAAGTACACAATACAGTATTATTAGCTATAGTCTCCGTGGTATACATTCGATCTCTAGAAATTTTTCATTCTACATAACTGAAACTTTGTACCCTTTGACCAACATCTACCCATTTGCCTCACCACCAGGCCCTGCCCCTGCTAATCTCCATTCTACTCGACTTAACCTTTGAAGTGACTCTCTCTACCTTCCTTCAACTCTTGGTACTGACGGTATCACACAACATTGGTTTTATCTGTCCACTTCCCAACTTCCCTGGCATCCTTCTCTGTATAGTCTTTTAAATAGGTAGCTCCTCAGAAATTAAACATATCCCCTCCCTTTATTTTCACTCTATACTCTTGGTTTAGGCAAGCTCCTGGCTTCAAACACCAGCCAGCTGTCAATAAGTTCCAATATAAATATGTAGCCCAGACCTTTTAAGTTCCTGTACCAATACATCCAATTGCCTATACAACATGAAGCTCTGAGGGGACATTAAATTCAGGATGTCCCCAAACTTAGGATCTGACTCTCCAAACCTGGCCTTCCTCCAGTCATCCATAGCTCAGTAATTGGCATAACACCAGTAGGTTGTACATACCAGAAAACTACAAGCCAGTCCTGATACCACCTCATCTTCACCAGCCCATTTAACCCATCATCAAGTCCTGCCATTTACTTCTTACCTAACTCCCACATCATTCTTTCTCTGTCTCTACCACCAACATCCTGGAACAAATTACCTTCATCTCTTAATGGACTACTCCTAAAGCTTTCTAACTGACCTCACCTATATCCAGTATTGACCTTCAATCCATTCTTCACACCACAGTCACAGCAAGCTTTTCAAAATGTCAATCTTGAAAATGTAAATCTTGTTTATTGTTTATTTCAAAATGTATATCTTATTTTATTCTCTACCTTAACATATTGTAATGGAGTTCCATTGCTCTCATGATGACGAGCAAATTATTTCACATGGTCTACAAGCCTCTGTGACTGGCCTATGCCTGCCTGTCTTGTAGTACTCCCCTCTCCTTTCTCTCCACCCTGGCAACACCATCCTTGTTTTTAAGTTATTCTCTGCCAGGTTCATTTTACTCTGTTTTTCCTTCATTGCAGTTATCACAATACTTTCATATCTATTTCCTGAATATTTGATTTTGTCTCCACTGAAAAGACTGTTTCAAAAATCAGGACTAGAAACAAGAATATTTTATCCCAAAGCATCTTGTTCACACATAGTAGGTGTTCTACAATCACCTACTGGATGAAAATCTGCATTACAGATACTAAGATTTGTAACTCATCAGTTAAAACCATGGGAGTGGAGGGGCTAACCTAGAATGAGAAGAGAAGTGGGTCAAAGAAAGAACCCCAGAGAGAGCTGACATTACAACTACCCAAGAAAGAAGGTGCAGGCTAGGTATTCATTTCATCTGAATATGAAATGTCTCATACATAAGCTTTTATCCTTTCCTTCCTGAGGATAGACTCACTTCACAACCTAATGTTAAATACGCAACCACTTTACCTGTTTTCACTGACAAGCAATTGCCACTGAGTTTTTCTCCTTAGGTTCCTCAAGACATGGTTTCTTCAGTGATTGGCAGCACAGGTGTGTCATACACATCTCTGCCAGCTGCAAAGTTTCGCTGTTTGAGAGGCTGGTAGGACTGCAGGTTAAGGGCCCATTTGGATAAAGTAGGCTGTGACGAGCCTCCTTCTGCCTTTGGAAAATCACACTTCAGTCATCTACCTCCCTTCAGGGAAGCACAGTGTAAGTATCCCAATAAGAAGGAACAAGAAAATACAACAGAATGAGGAAATCTAGAAGAAACAGAACCTCATAAAAGGGGTACAAGATAAATGATAGGATATCTACTTAAATTTGAATCTCAGATAAATAACAAATAATTTTTAGTACAAATATATCCATGCAATATTATATTTACACTAAAAAAGTGTATTAAAAATGTATAGTTAAATGAGAATGCTAGGTATTTATTTGCTAAATTTGGTAACCCCAACTGACACCCACACGTTCATCCATTCATTCACTTAGTAAATATATTTTGAGGGCAACTATGGGTCAGTTACTGTTCTAGCTGCTGGGAGTCAGCAGTGAACAAGACAGAAATTCTTCGTGGAGCTTTTAGTTCATAATAAAAACCAAACCTAGGTGCCTGTGGAATCTGAAAGGCTGCACTGCCTGAGGGGTGGGCCCAACCCGCCACTCTGCACAAAGTCTTCCCCCATCAAAAGATATGCAGTTGGCCCATGAATATTTGCAGTCCACTTATTAAAGCACTATTTTCTTAAGGGGATAGTCACTCCAAAATATTAACAGTGATCATCGTTGAGTTTGTGAATTTGAATGCTCTTACTCTTCCTACTTCTCTGCATTCTCTACATTTTCTAAATGAGTACATATTACTTGTAAAAATAGTATAAATTTTTCCCTTAACTCGAGTTGCCAGTAAAACTTTTTTATTCTTTATTATTTTAAATACTTTTTATTATTTATCAATGAATGGGTCAAGGCCTAATCTGCATCGTTAGCAGGAAGTCTATTATGTACTTCTTAGATGCCTCTTACCTCTGAATTGTCCAGGTACTTTTTAGAAGTCCAAAAGTAGAAGAGGGTTGGGAGGGCAGACATATCCTCACCCCAGCAATGCCAGAGCTAGAATCTGCTCACTGCCTCCTGAAGTCTCTATTCCTGTTGAAGGCATGCCTGTACGTACTCCATCAGCAGGATCTGAGTTTCCACCTGAACAGAAACCTGCTGAGGCCTGTCTATAGAATGGTCCACCCAGTCCTTTAATGTTAAAATAATCTAATGTGCCGCTAAGTATGCATACATCAGGGCTCAGATCTTTCCACTGCTATACACAGCTACCACCCAGGGACCAGTTGGCTTTCACATGCCTACTTATGGCTGCTTCTGCTGTATCCACCCACCTCCTTGGTCCAGAACAAGCCAATCTCCTCCCCAACCAGAAATCCATACTTTAGAGGTCCAGCAGCCTTCCCTTTTAAATACACAAAAGATCTGATTATACTCCTTTTCTCTATACAATAAGTAGAGTTATTTTTCAGCCTCACCCATCTAAAAGAAGCTACATCAACGATGCTAGGAGCTCTTATTCTTCCCCAGGAACCCTGTCAGCGACTCCGGGGAGACCAATATCCATCCTTGAAGATGGGCAGTTCTCTTCCAAAATTCTAAGGCATATTTCTGGCTCTTCTTTCAGTGGAAGCAACAGGACAAATGTAATCTCTAGAAGGATATTACATTGCATTTACATTAAAATATAAAATAAATCACATTGCACCCACATCTCACCATTCAGCAATGGACTTGATATGGATTTCTTAAGCTCTTATGTCAGGCAAAGCTTTCTTCTCCTTACCTTTATCTTACTAGGTAATTCATAACGGTAGAGCCACCCATTTGGGCTAATTTTTAAAATTAAAAAATAAAGCTGAATGGACCAGGGTAATGCATCCTGACCCATAAATTTAACCTTTTTTTTTTTTTAGATGGAGTCTCGCTGTGTTACCCAGGCTGGAGTGCAGTGCCGCAATCTCGGCTCACTGCAACCTCCGCCTCCCGGGTTCAAGCGATTCTTCTGCCTCAGCCTCCTGAGTAGCTGGGACCACAGGGCACACGCCACCACGCCCGGCTAATTTTTGTATTTTTATTTTTGTATTATTATTATTATTATTTTGAGACAGATATTATTTTTTTGAGACGGAGTATCGCTCTGTCGCCCAGGCTGGAGTGCAGTGGCACGATCTCGACTCACTGCAACCTCCGCCTCCCGGGTTCACGCCATTCTCCCGCCTCAGCCTCCCGAGTAGCTTGGACTACAGGTGCCCGCCACCACGCCCAGCTAATTTTTTTGTATTTTTAGTAGAGACGGGGTTTCACCGTGTTAACCAGGATGGTCTCGATCTCCTGACCTCGTGATCCCCCCGCCTCGGCCTCCCAAAGTGCTGGTATTACAGGCGTGAGCCACCGCACCCGGCTCCTAATTTTTGTATTTTTAGTAGAGACGGGGGTTTCACCATCTTGGCCAGGCTGGTCTCAAACTCCTGACCTTGTGATCCGCCCACCCCAGCCTCCCAAAGTGCTGGGATTATAGGCGTGAGCCACCGCCCCCAGCTATTTGTTTTTTTTTTTTAAATAATAGTTTAATAATATTTTATTTCATTGCTATTGATATGGTCTCATGCCTCAGTAATTCATAACTACCCATATATGATTTTTTAAAAATAGAAATTGCCTTAAACAGACGTTTTATCATGCGAAAAAAACAGAGGAAGATTTTTCAATTTATCTCAGGCTACTAGCTAACATTTTGATCAGATTGAGGCAAAACGATAATTAAACAAGTCAAGCCCAAATCATGTAAGGCTTGTGTCATAGGATTTTAGTGCGGTAAGGGGACTTTAAACATGAGCAACAAGGATGCTTTTATTATACAACTGACAAAACTGAGACCCAGAGGCAAGTCCACAGAATTACACAACCAGCTTGGCATCCATTCAGCAACACATTAGTTGACAATTCTTATGTACCAGTCCTGGAGTGGGAAGTCCAAGGATGAGTAAATTGTTCATGGAGGAGTCCACTGTCTTCATCAAAGTTGGAAATAGGACTTAGGTCTCCTCAATCCTGGGCAAAAGTCTCTCCTTCCCAGGAAGGCAGGCTATTGGAATGGTCCCTCCTGTATTTGGCACATTGGAATAAAATGCCATTTAATGGCTGGTTTCATTAGTAAATACTTACCCACCCCACATCCTGAGAGTTTCACTAACCATCAAGGAGTCATCTGCAACAAGTAGACTAATCAACTTGGAAGACAAAGTAGATTTGAGAAATTAATTATTTCCAAAGTCATACAAATAACATTCAACCCAATGGTATTATCAAATTCCCACATGACTTTAAATGCTTTCTCCTTCATTTCAAGCCTCTGCTAAATTATCTATGCCCCGGAGCATGAAAATGCAGTGCATAAATCATAAACAAGTCTTGTTCTTTTTTTCTATGCTATTGCAGAAATGTCAATTTGCCACATCATTTAGTTTCAGAGAAGAAGCTCCAGATGGGATGGGAGGAAGCATGAGCAATGGGCCTGATCACTTGGGGGGAAAAACTGGGGAATTTCTGGCCAAAGTGAATTTATACAGTTTCAAAGAAAGGTATTAACATGTATGTAAAGTGTGAGGTCAGAAGAACTGGCTCCCCTTCCTAGATTGTCTCAGTTTTTATTTCAATTATATTTACTTGTAATTCTCTCCCCATCATTGACCCCCTCAAGCTATGCAGAACACCACCATCACCTGTTGTTTTAATTTGTTTACTTATTTATTTTAACAACTTATTGATGGCTTCTCATGCTGAGACAAAACCCAGACTTATCTACCTTGGCAAGCATGAATCTACATTTTTTAACTGTACAAAAGAAAATCTATATGCACATACCGCCAGAGGAAGCAGCTGCAAAAACTATTTGCTTCTATGGAAAAGTCCTTAGGCTAGGATTTAGGAGAGCTGGGATCTTGGTCCAGGTCTGACAGGAGATCTAAATTATTCATGCCTTTATTCTCACTCCTTGTGCCTGCACAGGAGAGGTGCTAAGGCTACATCGTCCATCAGACTCATCTCTCAACACAAATCCCCTTCTCCACTGGGTGTGACCCTTTACTGTCGCCCACCTACATCCTGTCAATTCCTTATTCTGCATGTTTATTGATCATTTTTGCCCTTTGCCCTTTAATATTTAATAGTCATTAATTCATCAAATTGTGACTAGCCTCTTCCCATACCATCTATTTTATCACACTCAAGCATCATCAGCTGAAACTCAAATTCCACCTTTGGACACTTTCAACTCTAATGTCACTGGCCTCCCACTGCTCTCTGGTCCTAGTCCTTTCTATCTGTATCACATATTTTGTCACTTGATTATATAATGTCTCATATTGGTGTTTGAGATTTTTTTGTGGTTGCATTATTTCTGAACTGCCTCACTGTATTTGCCTTGACACCCATCTAAGTCTTGAACTCCTTCTTTAAATAGTCTAAAGTCCTAGTTTCTTGTCCCAATTCTCTCTCAAATACTCCCAACTAGTCTGAGCAAAGCCAGTTATTCTCCATTTTCTTAAATAAAAAAAGGACCTCCCTAAAATTGTTTGCAACTCTAATATTCTGTAAGTCAATGATTTTATGTATTGTTTATAAATTCAGATATGTATTTTTTGGTTTTCTTATTAATACTCCTTTCAATTCCCAGCAAAATTAGAGCATATAATAGATGCTTAATCCAGGAGGAAATGTGACAGAGGCCAGTGAGATTATTTCTCTGGCTACTCTTTGTGGAAGTGGCCAGAATTCCAAGGGTTAAAATCAGGTTTCTTTGGAAGTAACCCTCAACTACTAAAGCCTTTGCTATTATGCTAAGAGCATCAGAGGTCTCTTTTTTTTCTCCTCAAAGCATGGCAGAAGATGATACAAACACAGCTCAGTATTTATCGGGTGCCTAAAAAAATCCATCTCCAGAGCTTACAATTTTCAACCAACAAGGAGCAAATTCCCTTACCTCAAAACAGCAGGGTCTTCTGTCTCCTTGAATAAAGAGAAATGCATGGCAGTCACTTGTCAAGCAGACCCGATTTAAGAAGAAAGAAATGCAGTGATCAACAGTTTCAGTTTGCAATTTGCAAACAAAGAGTGAGATCTGATAATCCTAGAATGTTCCTCATTTTCTGCTTGAGGAAAAAATAAAGGAAATCTTTAAGAACTGTCTTGTTATTAAAACGAGATGATTGCTTCAGCCTTTCTAAAATGTTGTGTAATATTAATGTTTCACTAATGACATTTGTAATATACTCTGTGATAAATGCCTGCCAAAGTCCTGCTCTCGCCAATGTCGCCGTGTGGGATGATAATAGGCATGACCCCAGCCTCTTACACAGATTGGACTCATTTATTACCCAATGTCATCGCCAATTTGCATCTCTGATCCACAAGCCATTTTTTCCCCCACTGTTATCTAAATTTGTCCTTGCAGCCATTTTCATCAATTCTGGAGACTTGTGAGTAATAGCCTCACTGCAGGAAAGGGAGTTAGGTGCTCTCCCATGAGGCTATCAGATGAGGGCCACAGTCAGCTTCCAGGGCAGACTCCTAGTGAGAGGCCTTTTGAACTTGCAGCTCCCCTAGTGGTAGATATCAGACTACAAGATAGTGGTTGGCAGGCTTCTGCTGAACTTGGAGGCACCCTACTTTATATTTTGTCACCATCACAAGGAATTCAGATGGCTCTGCAAAACTAGAGCTTTGAAGTTTAAAAAAAAGAAAAAAGCAACCTTGAATAGATTCTCTTGCTCTGATTCTAACCTATCATTTATCTGTGAGACTAAGAGAGAAATAAAAAAGAGGAGAGTGATAAATGAATGGAAAAGGAGAATATGGGAGGAATTATTTGGAATACCCAGCATCCAGCCAGAAATGACAGCCCTCAAATCACATGCACTGATGAAACATGAGCTGCTGGCTGTTCTTAAGCAAAATACATAGGAACATTTTTAATTAGTTTATCCATGATTTCATTGTTTGATCAATTCATTGATTCATTAACAAGCATCACTGGCAGATATTAGGCTAGCCATAGGGAATACATGTGTGATTAATTATTGCTCAGAGACTATTTAAATGCCATGAGACTAATTCTCTCCTATTTACTGTTTTACCCGCAAGCCTAGCATAGTATGTGACAGAGAGCATCTGATGAAAGAGATAATTGAGACAGAGAGAAAAAGCAAAAGAGAGGGAGGGAGAACAAGAAAATTAGGGTAAGAGAGGGCTACTTTTTATCCCTAGAATGTTGGAAAATATTTGACCCAGAGTTGGGGCTAGGTGAACATTAATTGTTTATAGTGGAATTAACGTGATTTATTTCCAAAGCATTGACTACCCTCTATGACTTATTTGTGTTCAGACTGAATAAAAATATCCTAACACAAAAATTTCATTATTCTATTGATATTTGCTTACAGGGAGGTGAACACGGCAGCTACTTGTCTTCATTATATGTCTTTGTATGTGCACAAATATGCTTTGGCAAAATCATTTAACTAGTCTCACTTATAGGAAAGGGTGTTACGAAGGTTTAAGAAAGTCCGTTGAACCGAATGCGGAGAGGACTGCCAGCCCTTGGGGTGAAAAACAGGGCAGGGAGCAGAGGGGCTGAGGAGGGGCCTGTTTCTTCCTGGGGTGTTTTTGTGATGTTTTAAGCTGAATTCTCAGAATATTATCCACCCATTCCATAAATATTGATGGAGGCCTTGCTATGTTGGAGGCATTGATTTAGAAAGGACAGACTACACCCAACGAACCTGTGATCACAAGGGACCTAGACCAAGGAAGGAACAATTAAGATACTCTGAAAAGGACCAGGAGAGGGGAAGGCACCAAAATGATCAAGGCGAGAGAAGAGGCTGGGCACAGTTATTCACACCTATAATCCCAAGACTTTGGGAGGCCGAGGCATAAAGATCTCTTGAACCCAGTTCAAGTCTGCAGTGAGCCATGATTGTGCCATTGTTCTCCAGCCTGGACAACAGAGTGAGACCCTGTCTCAAAAAAAAAAAAAAAAAAAAAAAAAAAGGAGGTGGGGGAGAGAATTTCCAGAGCAGATGATGCTTTAGTTAGGTTTTTGTTTGTTTTTTTGAGACGGAGTGTTGCTGTGTCACCCAGGCTGGGAAGCAGTGGCACGATCTCAGCTCATTGCAGCCGCCGCCTCCCAGGTTCAAGCAATTCTTCTGCCTCAGCCTTCTGAATAGCTGGGACTACAGGCACACGCCACCGTGCCTGGCTAATTTTTGTATTTTTAGTGGAGACAGGGTTTCACCATATTGGCCAGACTGGTCTCGAACTCCTGACCTCATGATCTGCCCACCTCGGCCTCCCAAAGTGCTGAGATTACAGGTGTGAGCCACCACACCCGGCCCAGTTAGGTTCTTTAAAAAAATAAAGGGCCAGGTGTGGAGGCTCACGCCTGTAATCCCAGCACTTTGGGAGGCCGAGGTGGGCAGATCACGAGGTCAGGAGATTGAGACCATCCTGGCCAACATAGTGAAACCCCGTCTCTACTAAAAATACAGAGAATTAGTGGGGTGCAGTGGCATGTGTCTGTAGTCCCAGCTACTCAGAAGGCTGAGGCAGAAGAATCACTTGAACCCAGGAGGCAGAGGTTGCAGTGAGCTGAAACTGTGCCACTGCATTCTAGCCTGGCCACGGAGACTCTGTCTAAAAAATAAATAAACAAATAAAAATAAAATAAAATAGTGGCTCTTGCCTGTAATCTCAGCACTTTGGGAGGCCGAGGTGGGCAGATCACTTGAGGCCAGGAGTTCAAGACCAGCCTGGCCAACATGGTGAAACATATCTGTACTAAAAAGAAATTAGCCGGGAGTGGTGGTGCGTGCCTGTAATCCCAGCTACTCGGGAGGCTAGGCCACAAGAATTGCTTGAACGCAGGAGCCAGAGGTTGCAGTTAGCTGAGATTGCACCACTGCACTCCAGCCTGAGCAATAGAGCAAGATTCCATCTCAAATAATTTTTTTAAAAAAAGAAATAGCGTAAAAATAAAAAATAGAGTAAAAAATATAAAAATAATATAGAGTAAGCAGGCACACACACATAAACAAAGGGTAAGAGAGTATTTCAGAAAAGAAAATCCACAGACCACAGCAGGGGGAAGGAAGGGATCAGGGTGGGTTTAAGAAACTGCAGAGGCTTCTGCTTGACCAGCCACTGGGAGAAAAGAGGCCATGCTGGATAACCGGAGAGGACTGGGGTTGCCATGCTAAGCAGAGCAGACTGGATCTTACAGGAAGTCTCACTCATATGCTGAGGTAAGCTCAAAAACACAGATGGGTGGCAGAAAATGAATTAGGCCTTGCAAAACCAGCTCCCCTATAAAGCACAGATGCAGGCCACTTAAATAATCAAGAGTTCACTCATCTAACAAGTACTGTCTGAGCATAAGAGGTAAGCAATGTGGAGAAGACAAAGGTGAGTATGACTGACCTTCAAACTTCGTATAATCCAGGAAGGGAAAGAAGAATACTAAGTAGTCACTCCCTAAAAGGAGTACTGATAGAGAGCACAAGAAAACCAAATGAAGAAGGAATGACCTCCAGCTGGGGGATTAGGCAGTGTGCTTCATGAAGAGAACCTGGAAAGCTCTAGCCCCAGGCAGTGGTCTTCTTGCTTGAGTGGATCAGAATCACCTGGAAGGCTACTTAATGCTGCTCCCAAGGCTGGAGTTTCTGATTCAGGAAATGTGGAGTGAGACCCACAAATATGCATTTCTAACAAGTCCCCAGGCCATTCTGCTCCTGCTGATCTAAGAACAAAATTTCCAGAACCTCTGCTTCAAGGGAAAGTTAGGAATTGGGCAAATACAGATGAGGCTGTGGGCATTCCAGGAAGAGAGAACCATGTACTAAAGGCACGTGGGTAGAAAAGCAAAGCAATATCCTGGTTACGATCAAGTTAGGGTCACATAGAAGGAGCACACTGTACAGCTGATCCTTGAACGACATGGGCTGAACCTTGTGGGTCCATTTCTACACAGACGTTTTTCAACAGATACAGTTGGTCATCTGTATCCATGGGTTCCACATCTGCAAGCAAATGTGGATGGAAAATACAGTATTCATGGGATATGAAACCCACGGATGAGGGTTAACTTTACCTATATGCAGGTTCTGCAGGGCTGTCTGCCAGATTTGGGTGTGCACAGATTTTGAGATCCTCAGGGGTTCTGGAACCAATGCCTCACAGATACAAGGTATGACGATATAAGATATCATCAGACTCAAAACCTTCGTGAATTAATTACCCAGTCAACTCCAGTTAGCTGAGAGCAATTGTGCTAGAATAGTTATCAGGCATAAAGCAATGGCCAAAGTAAGAATAGCTGTCGTGTGACCTGCACCTTTCCTCCTCAATTTTCTGCTTTTGAACTACCCCACCTCACCAGGTCTGCCCACTCTCTAAACTGAAACAGCCATTAGTACCAACCAATTCAGCCATTGGGTGCATAACTGATCCCTTCCCTCTAAATGAAAAAGAATGACAAAATCCCTTTAGTTTAGTCAAGGCTAGATTGGGAATTTTCAAAAGGAATTTTAACAGGGAAAGGCACACTGTTTTCATTTCATCATTAAAAAAAAAGTCTACCCCAAACAAAGATTAACTTGGCTGGTGCAATTTCAAAACAGCTTACAAGGCATTATAGGTGGAATTATATCTCCCCCAACAAAAATATTATGAAGTCCTAACCCTCTAGTCCCTCAGAATGTAGGCTTATTTGGAAATAGAGTCTTTATGGAGGTAATCCAGTTAAAATGAGGTCATTCAGGTAGGCCTTAATCCAGTACTGCTGGTGTCCACATAAAAGAGGAAATTTGGACACAGAGAGAGAGATATATATACACAAAGGGAAGACTGTGAAGGCACAGGGAGTACACTGATGTGTACAGCACAGGGAGTACACTGGTGTGTACAGCCCAGGATCAGTGGGATGCACCTACAAGCCAAAAAATATCAAGGGTTTCTGGCAATCACCAGAAGATAAAGATACAAAGAAGTTCTTCCCTATAGGTTTCATGGCCCCACTGACAGCTTGGTCTCGAACTTCTGGCCTCTAGCACTTTGAGAGAACAAACTTCTGTTGTTCTGAGTCACCCAGTCAGCAGTACTTTGTTAGGGCAGCCCCAGTAAACTATTGCAGAAGGCAATTTCAAATTCTTTACATACACACAGGCACACACCCACACATACCACACACATCTTGGCATTTGTCATTTTAAATGGTATATCCACACGTTGCCTGCTGTCCTCTTAATTAGCCTTTGAAATCAGAGTAATAGCCCTCATTCTCAACCACAATTGCATGGAAAGATTTGTTTTGTAATTTTTTGGGTAATGCTAAAGAGGATATGTTTCCTAGGGGTTCTCTTGTTCTTTGGATGACAGTATAAAATTAGCTGTTACCACCCACATTCAAATGAAAAGCCAATCAGTGGTGCAGTGGCAACTGTCAATCTCGGGCCTGCCCAGCTGTCAGTCAATCTGGCCATAAACTTTGTTCCTTCTGCCCACTTTGTCTTGCTCTTGAGTGGAGGAGTAATTTCCCACAGGCTTGCACAAATAATTAATAAGTGGGCAGAAGCCACTATAAATACCTTGTCTACAGAAAGTCTAAGTAAGACACACTACCTGAAATCACTAGAGTCAGGGTTTTTTCCCTTCTGTTAGTATTTTAAAAGTTAGAATTAGAACCCATGACAATTACATACTTTGATAGATATGGGATGTTGGAGGAGACCCTACTGGTCTGTGGTGCTCAAAACTTACTGTCACCTGTAAAGACAACATGTCAACTGCATGGTCTAGAGAGGGGAGAACATGATCCAAACTTAAGCAGATGGCATAATTAAAGGTGGAGGAAGGGCATGAACTTCAACAGAGGCAGTCTGTCTGGGCCAGAAAATTTTCACTAACCTTATCTGTAATTCCCCACCCAAAAGTCCTTAATTTTATATTTTCTAATTTTTATTTTTTATTTGCATATATTCATGGGGTATAAGTGCAATTTTGCTACATTGATATATATCATTGTGTTGAAGTCAGGACTTCCAGTGCAAAAGTTTTAAATTTTAACTCTTTTTCTTTCTTTAGCAACTTAGTCTCCTACCTCTTTCTTAATCTCTTCTTTCACTTTCAGAAATAGGAATATCAACATATGGTTGACCCTTGAACAATATGGGTTTCAACCACATGAGTCCACTTATACATAGGTTGTCTTCCACCTCTGCCACCCCTGAGACAGCAAGACCAACCCCTCCTCTTCCTACTCAATGTGAAGATGACAAAGATGAAAACCTTTATGGTGATCCACTTCCACTTAATGAATAGGAAACATTTTCTCTTCCTTATGATTTCTTAATAACATTTTTTTATCTAGCTTACTCTATTATAAGAGTACAGTATATAATATAATACATATACAGAATATGTGTTCATCAACTGTTTATGTTATTGGTAAGGCTTCTGATCAACAATAGGCTATTAGTGAAACTACTTTTGCAAAATTATGAAGTAAGAGAAGTCTGACATAATTAACTCTATCTTGCATCTAACCTCCAAGCTGTTGTTGGTCATTCCTGAGAGTAAGCCAAGCTAACTTTGGGAGAGATTTAGTTTATAATGTAACCTTAAAGCAGGGTTCATAATAGCCTTTCCCAAAACTAAACCACCTTTGTAAGACTAATGAAAGTCTACAAGGTTAGGATGAGAGGTGCTGGAATTCTGCTAAGATCTAGGTGTACTTACAGATAACCAGGCATTGTTTTGTGGGTCAGGAGACGTGTAACTTTTCCCAATTACTCCCATAGATAACATCACTATTGTAGAACCTAAGATTGATATGTTGGGGTATTTTTCAGGCTTTTGCATTCTGGCAACTGACTGACCCCCACCCAAAGGCAGACCTGTGACTCATGACCCAACTGGTCCCGTGGCCCCGTGATCCAGAAGTGAACACAGTGCACAAGGACCATTTTCCATACCCTTAAGAGTGCATTCCAATGAATCAACAGCAGCTGTTCCTTAGTCCCCTGCCCACCAAACTATGCTTGAAGACCCCCTAACCTCCAAGCCTTCAGAGACTGATTTGAGTCATAACTGTCTCCCATGTGGCTGGCCTCACATCAATGATATTCTTTCCTCATCAGAATGTCAGGGTCTCAGTGAATTGATCTTGCCTGTGCAGCAAGTAAGACAAACCCATCAGGCAATTACATTAGTTACATTTGAGGGGGACCAAAAAACTCTACATGGATTTTTGGCTGCATGCGGGGTTGGCACCCCTAGCCCCCACATTGTTCAAGGGTCAACCATACTGACATCCCTCTCAAAGTCCGACTACCCATTCAGTAGGGTATCCTCCTGCCTGTGAAAGGGAATGATAATTTTCCACCCATCATGGCAAAGGAAGGTGTGGAGCAGGGAGGGGAGAGACATCAGAACAGAGCAGGTGCTGTGCAGTCAGCACAGGAGACACTTCAGAGACAGGTCTTGTACCTTGGACACAAAAGAGGCGTTGAAACAAGAGACCCAGTAATGGAAGCCATCGCAACTGACTCTGAATTACACTTCATTCTTGCTTGTTGAAAAGGAAAACCATGTAAGTACTTACAGTAAATTAAGTTTGACATCTTCCTTCAGAAGAGAAGTGTCCTAATTTCCACCACATGCAGAGAGCAGCTGGATGCACCATCCTTGCTCCCTAATTACTGATTAACACAACAATGGTCTAATCATCCCTCCATATTTGAGGGATAATTTTGATTATTGCTTCTCCACACTTGAAGTGGGCTTCCTGGGGCCTTGTTTGAGTGGTACTTCACTCTCCAGTTAGGAGGACCCTGCTCCAGTCACAGCGGGGCAATCACTGTTAATGTCAGATGAGGAGTCTGTACTCAATGGCCAGAAAGCATTGTACTACAGCTCCATGCTATCCAAACCTTGTGGGGTGATGTCCCTATTCTGCAGTTTAAAATGAAACACTCAAATGTAAATATGACCAGATTGAAGAAGGTTTTTGGAAATCACCGTTTGCCTTTCCCCAATCACACAGGTTGCCCTCATGACCTGAGTGGCCAGATCACTGAATGAGGAATGGGCAGCTTCAGTGAATGAGGAATGGGCAGCTTAGCTTCAGTGCAGGACTCCCAAGTACTTTGGTAAGGAACACAAGGGGAATCCTTAAGCCCGCCTATAAAATGTGGGTTGCATGAATACTACCATGACTATGGGGCTTTTGATAAGTCTGTACACATTAGGATGCCTCATAATCTGTTCGTAATGGCTCTGAAACAATTTTTAAATGACTGGGTGATTCTGACATAAGACAAAGAACAGCATTTGCCCTTTCACATTCAAAGGACAGAGCATTCATGTTGTGATAATAGTGGATAGGATGTTTTTTCTGTTAAGCCTGGGGCTCCTCGAGGTGGATCACACATTATCAGTGCATTTTCTCATCCCGAAATTAAATGATGATGTTCTTGGAAGATTCAGCAGAGGAATGAGCATAACATTACCTAACCCCAGACCTGCCTGCATTATCTTGGCATCCATCTTTGACCCTCTGCAGCATCAGAGAGATGGGTGTGATCCTAGGTGGACTTCAAGATAGCTCCACATAGTTCCAGGCTTGTGTGATTTTTCAACTTCATTATGTAAACACAGGACCTCATTTGGGAATGCAGCCTCATGAGTATAGGCTGTTCCTCAGACTCCCTGCAGATCCAATGAGTGCACTGCTTGGCATTTGCTTTCCATTTGCCACCCATCTCACCTTTATCTCCCAGGCTGGTCCTGTTGATGTTAGTGACAATGTAGCAATTATGCAACAAGCATTGTACATACATTATTTCATCTAACCGTCTGTTGTAATAATACTGTCCATGTTATTATCCCTATTTTACAGATATAAAAACTGTAACTGAGAGAAAGAGGTTAATACATTGACAGAGGTTGCAGAGTAACAGTCAGAATTTGTACCCAAGTCCACCCATTGTCAAAACTCACATGATATACTATACTATATTGCCTCCAAGTATGAGCAAAGGAAGTTACGCTCCTTGACTTTTCACCACTTTATAAAGCTGTTGGGAACAGGCCCCCCAAAATCTGGCCATAAGCTGGCCCCAAAACTGGCCATAAACAAAATCTCTGCAGCACTGTGACATGTTCGTGATGGTCGTGATGGCCATGATGCCCACGCTGCAAGGTTATGGGTCTACCGGAATAAGGGCAAGGAACCCCAGACCCACCCAGGATGGAAAACCGCTTAAAAGTGTTCTTAAACCACAAATAGCATGAGTGATCTGTGCCTTAAGGACATGCTCCTGCTGCAGATAACTAGCCAGAGCTCATCCCTTTATTTCAGCCCATCCCTTTGTTTCCCATAAGGAAGACTTTTAGTTAATCTATAATCTATAGAAACAATGCTTATCACTGGCTTGCTGTCAGTAAATATGTGGGTAAATCTCTGTTCGAGGCTCTCAGCTCTGAAGGCTGTGAGACCCCTGATTTCCCACTCTACACCTCTATATTTGTGTGTGTGTGTGTGTCTTTATTCCTCTAGCATCCCTGGGTTAGGGTCTCCCCGACTGAGCTGGTCTCAGCATAAAGCAATATTAGTAAGTCTAGTCAGGAGACTGGCCTTTTAACTCCTGAGACATCTTGCATGAGTCAAATCCTCAGATTCTTTCTTACATGTGCAATCACATGATATTTACTTGAAGGAAAAATACCTAAGGGTTATGAGTTTGAGCTCATCATAAAGGAAATGAATTTGTACCGGTGAGGTTTGGAAACTACATTTTCAAGGGGGTTAGCCCTAGGACATGGCCACTAATGAAAGCATATTCATTGATTCAGTCTTTACTCAGAGAACACTGAGTACATACATCCAAGGCACGCAGGATGCAGTGACAAATAAAAAAGTCCCTGGCCTCACGTGCTTCTAGTGGCAAACTGAATAAGAAAGAGGTCATTACAATCCAACCTGGCAAATCCTGTGAGTAAATGGCATGTAATAACCCAGTGGTGAGCACCTAATCCAGGTAGACGGTGTCAGGGAAGCCACATCTGTCTTTGAGGGCAGAGTCCAGCTTTCCTTCAATGTCATTTTTCATCATGTGGTTAAAAGGGCCACCAATTTTCCCAGGAAGACACATACTTATTTGTCCTCTGTGATGAGTTGAAGAGAACTAGAGATACCTAGTTACACATTCTCAGTGCTTTGACTACAATTTTTAGTCAACCGAAAAATATCAGTCTAAATACAATCAGGGTACAATTTGGGAATATTGGTGGCAGACTGCAGAAGACAAGTTTCCATGCTCTTGCCTCTCCAGTGGGGAATGTATCCATTTATCCCCAAATCTCTTAGAATTTCTCTACAATCTGGTCTGACACTCTAGCTTAAAGAGTGACCAAAGTATATAACTTGTAGTTTATGTGGAAAACAAAAATGTAGAAAGCAAGCAAGAAACCCTGACATCTTTATGAAATATGCCTGAAACACAGCCGAAAGATAAAATTGTCAAATAGCTGTAAGAGGCAGAACCAGTTTGAGGAATTCATGGCCTAATCCACATTTCCCCCAGATCCTGTGGGGAAACACTGTAGGACAGTTATGGCAATGAACCACTTTGGAATTTGTTGAAAGATTGCTGTGGTAGGATTCCCTCTAAGGACCAGGAAAGGGTTCAAAATCAACCTTTCTCAGGAAATAAGTTTAGATTTTTTTCTAGAATTTCAAGACAGGCTCTAATCGTACAGAAACTTTTCTAGAATGGATGGAGAAGGTGACAAGGCTTCTCAAGGGCCCCAACTCTCACCCGACAATGTTGACTGAGCACTCACTGCTTGGCCAAGCACTGTGCCAGGCACCTGACATAGAATCTCTTGCTTAATCCTCAAGCACACCACTGCCAGGAGATAGCATTCCCATTTTACAGATGAGAAAACCAAGATTCAGAGAGTTTGTAACGTACCCAGACCCCATAGTTCATAGATGGTAGTTTCACACCCAAATGTGCAAAATTCTAGAGGGAGGTCTTCTGAAGTCAATAAGTTCAATAAACTGGTGGGACAAATGCTATGTTGAGCAACCCTGAGGAAGCTTTCTTTCCTTCCTTTCTGTTAGCTAAAAGTTACTACATTTTTCTTGGGCTCTGAAGTCTGCCTGGATTGTGGTATTTAATGTGAGGCAGCTGCAGACTGTGCCCCAAAGCAAATGAGGCTAGAGGAATTCCCCTTTCTGAAGGCATCCCACCTGAGTGTCACAAAGATGTGCAGCTGAAAACAAGCCTGACTTCTGTATATAAAGGAATCTGGGCAGGCAGACCCTCGGCTCTTGGGAGAGGAGGCGGAGAGTCTGCAGCCGGCAGGAACTCCTGGTAGCATTATGTGGCTGCTGCGGTGCGTTTTGCTGTGTGTTTCATTATCTCTTGCTGTGAGTGGCCAGCATAAGCCTGAGGCACCAGATTATTCCAGTGTGCTCCACTGTGGGCCGTGGAGCTTCCAGTTTGCTGTAAACCTCAACCAGGAGGCAACGTCTCCTCCTGTACTAATAGCTTGGGGTAAGTTTGATGACTTGCCTTGCTTAGCCAAGCAATGATATGTCTCCTCTACTACCTAAGATGTCTCCCTATCTTCCCGTATTGATACTTTCACCTTCTGAGCCCTGTTGCATCTTTCTGCAAAAGAAATAGTCTAAGTTATAACTACATCTGATCTGAATCTGATTTCCCTCTTGTTCCTCTTATTGACAGTTGCTCCTTGGGGTCTAATGGCAAGGCTGACTATCCTTTCTGGCACTGGAGACTGACCGCTGTGTTTTCTCACCTCTTCCCCACCCCTCCAGACAACCAAGGGCTGCTGCACGAGCTGCAGAATGACTCCGACTGTGGCACCTGGATAAGAAAAGGTCCAGGCAGCTCCGTGGTGTTGGAGGCAACCTATAGCAGCTGCTATGTCACTGAGTGGGTGAGTATGACCCAATGGCCAGGGAGACTGTGTGAAGCGCCTCATGCTACCATCCAGGCTGACCCCCAAGGGCCTGTCTCTCCAGGACTCCCACTACATCATGCCAGTTGGAGTTGAAGGAGCAGGCGCGGCTGAACACAAGGTGGTTACAGAGAGGAAGCTGCTCAAGTGTCCTATGGATCTTCTAGGTAAAGGCTGGAAGCTCTCAGGGTCTTGTGGGGGTGGTGGGGGTGGGGTGTGAAAGTACTCTTGGTCCTCTCTGACCTGCTCTGTGCAGTGACACCTGACACTAATGAAGGAAGGATCATGTCCCAACTCTCACCTCCATGGGCAATCCTTAGGATAACTACCAATTGAGACTCCTCAATGCCAAGGCACTGTGGGTAAGCACTTCAGGTGTTACCTTCCCTAACCCTAACATAGTGCTGCAAATACTACTGCTGGCCAGGCACAGTGGCTCACACCTGTAATCACAGCACTTTGGGAGGCTGAGGCAGGTGGATCAGGTCGGGAGTTGGAGTCCAGCCTGACCAACATGGAGAAACCCCATCTCTACTAAAAACACACAATCAGCCGGGTGTGGTGGTACATGCCTGTAATCCCAGCTACTCGGGAGGCTGAGGCAGGAGAATCGCTTGAACCTGGGAGGCTGAGGTTGTGGTGAGCTGAGATCGTGCCCTTGCACTACAGCCTGGGCAACAAGAGCGAAACCCTGTCTCAAAAAAAAAAAAAAAAAAAATACAACCTATCTCTTGCCAGGAAGTTTTCCCAAGGGCCTATCACTGGTGAATGACTGAGCTGGGATTCAAAGAACTCTCCCAGAACCAGGAGCTTTTCACCCATGGGGAGAATGATAGGAAATAAAACTGAAGCTAGCAAGGGAACTTGGAAAAATACCTCCACAGAGCTAGATGTGCACTGAGACTAGGACCCAGGTCTTCCATCCCACAAGCTGGAGGGGTATCTGAGCATTTCCCTAAGGAAACAGCAGGAAGTATGATGCCTACTCAACTTTAGAAAGTCTCGCCTGACTGAGAGCCCGTCCTCAAAGTCAGAACAGACTCAAACTATAAATTCACTCTTCTCACCTGCCTTCCTTCCCAATACATAGCCAGGATGGGCAGCACTAATAAAATGAGGAATCATAGGCCCCACCCCAGTTCTGAACCAGACCTGAACTCAAAAACAATCTTCAGATAACTCATATCCAAACTAAGGCTTGAGAAACGCCTCTAAAGAACAGAAGGAAGGATTGTTACTGGAAGGAGTAAGAAACCCCCCAACTGCTTCTACCAATTTTGTTGACATTCTTGTTTTTAAAAAACTAATAGCAGGGCACTCTTACAAGGTGACTTAATGTTGACAACCTCCCAAGACTTAATCTACAACATGTAACCTCTCAATACTATCTACAATATGGAGTAGACACCTATTTCAATCATCTACATATCTACAGGAATCCAAAGTCAATGACTTGTATCAAAATGGTATTCAAGACTAACTTTTCCATTATCTAACCTGACTTACTCTTTTTCAAAACCTAGCCCGAGATGCTCCAGATACTGACTGGTGTGACTCCATCCCAGCACGGGACAGACTGCCATGTGCACCTTCACCCATCTCTCGAGGAGACTGTGAAGGGCTAGGCTGTTGTTATAGCTCTGAAGAGGTGAATTCCTGCTACTATGGAAACACTGGTGAGTAAGTGAGCACACCTCTGAAACCAGCTGAGGAAGTGTGGCAATTACAATGAAACCCAGAGAGGGGTTTGCTCAGAAGGCAAACATCAAGTGATAGCAGGCTGCCATGTAGCCATGCATCCAAGAACACTTGATCCCAATGTAACAGACTTCTACAACTCCCACTGTCCATTCTCCCAGAATCCAGATATAAAGTCAATAACGCTCAGACTTGAAGGCTATGTGCCAGATAATTGCTAGTGCCAGATAACTTCTAACTGACAGAAACTTATAGCGACTTTGGCTGATGGTCTTGGATTGTTTAGGGAGAGTCACTTCAAGGCTGTTGCTTTCTGCTTGTCTCTAATCCTGCTCTGAGGTTTTCTAACATAAACTTGACCTCAGAGTATGTATAGGTTGGTACAGGAGGAATCCCGGCTTTTGCCATTGTGGCAAAGGCTGCAATTACTTCTCTACCAACCTAATAATCGCACACGCTATTCCAAGATCTTAATCTTAACTGACAAGCAAAATGAGGTAGGAACTACTATCCCCCTCTTAACACATGAAACTGAAGCAAGGAGGTGCAATACTTGCCTGAGGTCACACAATAAGTCAGGGAGGCAAGACTCAACCCCAGATCATTTAGAGCCTGGGTTAAACTGTGGTTGGTTGATCTTGCACTGAGGTTGTCACTGGGAAGTTGTCACCAGCTTCTCAGTGGGATTAAAAGTAACTAAGTGGTTAGACTTTCATCTGGTTCTCCCCACAATGGGAGAGATGACCTGCCTTCAGCACAGCTGCTCTGTTTCAGTGACCTTGCATTGTACCCGAGAGGGCCATTTCTCTATTGCTGTGTCTCGGAACGTGACCTCGCCACCACTGCTCTTGGATTCTGTGCGCTTGGCCCTTAGGAATGACAGTGCGTGTAACCCTGTGATGGCAACACAAGCTTTTGTTCTGTTCCAGTTTCCATTTACTTCCTGTGGCACCACAAGACAGGTGAGCAGTTGGGCTTTGTTCCTGGCTCTGGAAGTTGGGTGGGAAGGTTGTAGTGACTAGTGGGGGAGAGCTGAAATATGTTGGCCGTGAACGATACTTGTGACTACTACTTGGAGTTTGGGAGAGTCCCTAGGGCAGGAGAATGCCTCATCACTGAAAAAGTTAATCTCTTCTGGGTGTTCAGCTAAGACCATCACAGCTGTGATCTAGCTAAGGGGCTGTCATTTACCGTGCTATAGAGAAGAAACCAGCAGGGATGCTGACTGGAATTGGTAGTGCTTCAGCTGCCTCTCCTAGGTGCTCAAATTCCTTCTTATTCCTTTGTCCTGAGATAAGGCGAAGTGATAACTTGCCAGGATGTCACTGCTATGTGTTCTTACCTCTGCTGAAGTAATAGGAAATATACCATACAACAGGGTAGCATTGCTGAGGGCTTAGACCAGATGCAAGTCAAGCAGCATAACACTAACAGAAATGATCAAGACTTCTCCATCTATTCCTGTAGATCACTGGAGACCGAGCAGTATATGAAAATGAACTGGTGGCAACTAGGGATGTGAAAAATGGGAGCCGTGGCTCTGTCACTCGTGACAGCATCTTCAGGTAAGGGCTTGGCCAGAATGACTTCCCATCTGCCATAAGGTGGGCATTCTCAGGTAAGCCCTGAATCCACAAATGAGCATTCCTCAGCAATAGGAGAAAACCTGTCTGCTACCTTGGTTCACCAATTGCACTGCCCATTACTTGATTAGGTCCATCTGTGTTGCTGTCTCCAACCCGACCTAAGCCTCAAGCTCACCTGGAGTTCTGCTATTTCACTTAACTAGATTTTTTTCTCATTTTGGCCTTCTCCATTCTACATTTCAGCCTACATTTCTCCATTCTACATCTGGCCTTCTCCACTGTCCATGCTGTAGCCAAAAGAATTCCTTTAAAACCTTAAGTCAGTCAAATCACACACCTTAAAGCCATGGACAAAAAAAAAAAATCTTTAAGATGAACATCAGGACCCTGCATAAAACAGCTCCTACTTCATCTCCAGCCTGTTCACTTCTAACATTCTCAGTCCCTTACTCACTATTCCCCGATTGCAGCCTGGTTCTTCTATGGAATTCTCAAAGGGCCTCAAGCACTTCCTTGCCTCCAGGCTTTGCTCTATATTGGGTGACGCTTTCCCTGTACCTCAAGTTTTTCTTTCACCTTCATATCAAGGGTACCTCTAAGGTCTTCCCTGATCTTCTCTATGGCAAGCATCTGTTTCTCATGATGCATCTTTATTTCTGTGTGCTTATCTCCAACTCAAACATTGGTCCTACTTGTATATTGGTCTCCCCAACTAAAATACAGCTCCCAGCAGGGCAGGAACCACATCCATCACACTTATAAACTTGTCTAGCACTTAATGCTTTCCTTGAGTTAAAAAGAAAGGATGTGTAACTGACACCCACTTCCCACAACCAACTAGCTAAAATCTTGTTTCTCTGCAGGCTCCATGTCAGCTGCAGCTACTCAGTAAGTAGCAACTCTCTCCCAATCAATGTCCAGGTTTTCACTCTCCCACCACCCTTTCCTGAGACCCAGCCTGGACCCCTCACTCTGGAACTTCAGATTGCCAAAGGTATGACCCCCTTGGCTGGAGTATCTGGCCTATAGTCTAAATCCAGTCTTCTGGGGCATGAAGACCCTAAGTTAGTAACAAGACACTTAAGGGGCTTGGGGCTATTTAAAGGGGTGACAGTCCCTCAAGTCACTGAGAGATTACTACTTCAAATCCTTATTTCTGCCTCTTGCAGATAAAAACTATGGCTCTTACTACGGTGTTGGTGACTACCCAGTGGTGAAGTTGCTTCGGGATCCCATTTACGTGGAGGTCTCCATCCTTCACAGAACAGACCCCTACCTGGGGCTGCTCCTACAACAGTGTTGGGCAACACCCAGCACTGACCCCCTGAGTCAGCCACAGTGGCCCATCCTGGTAAAGGGGTAAGTGGTTCTTTCATACACCTGTGCTGAAATTCTCAAAGAAGCCCATCCTGACTGCTGGGTCTCTTGGTCTAGCTGCCCCTACATTGGAGACAACTATCAGACCCAGCTGATCCCTGTCCAGAAAGCCTTGGATCTTCCATTTCCCTCTCACCACCAGCGCTTCAGCATCTTCACCTTCAGCTTTGTGAACCCTACAGTGGAGAAACAGGCCCTCAGGGGACCGGTAGGATGTTCCCTTCCATGACACTCACCAGGGCTCTGAACCTCCCCAACTTACAACTGTTTCCATGTCCTACTACTCTGCAGCCAAGGAAGCCCTTTAATGCTGGCTATTGGTACTGACTCAGAGCAACCCTTGTTACTAATTACATGAGTGACATCTGTCAACTGGACTCCAGTTCCTTAGTGCCATTGTGATATCAACTTGGACCATATCAATTTTCTGATAACTTCCTGAACCTCTTCCTGGGGAGGCAAAGCAGGTTTAGAGATACATGGCATGGTGATACTACAAATGACCTGAATTCTGTTGGCTCCCAGGTGCATCTGCACTGCAGCGTGTCAGTCTGCCAGCCTGCTGAGACACCATCCTGTGTGGTGACCTGTCCTGATCTCAGTCGTGAGTAACCAAGCTGTTAGAGGACAGATTTGAATGAATCTTGAGTCCCATGTCTAACCTTTCCTAGTCTCTGGCCAAACAACTCAAACTGAAGATTCATCTTACTAAGGCTTCTCTAAGTACTTGCGGTGCCATAGAACAAAGATGACTAGCTTCCCAGAATCCCATGTCTCCTAAAACAAGCTATAAATGTTCGGGTAACCCTCAACCTTAGCTTTTTCCATATAAACTTTAATTCATCCACCAACCAAGGCAGTTTATGGCCTATCTTATGTCTCATTTTAACAAGATACACCTGAATAGTTGAGAAACATGTCTGTACCTGCTTGACAGGTCTGGCAATGCAGCCTAAAGATCTATAAGTAGAATGACTGGACCTAGAATGTGGTCTCTAGTTCGTTGGGTCCAATGCTTCTAAGTAGTCAATGTGTCTGTATGTCTACATGGGTTCTACCTGTACTTGCCTAGCCTCTGAGTTTGGATTCATGACCTCTAAAGCTTTAAGTGCCTTCTAGCAAAACTCATAGTAACTAAATGGTGCTTTATTATGCAAAGTACAACATTAAGTAACATCTCCAAAAATGCATATTATCACTACTTCTAAAGAATGAACCATCTTAGATTGAGGTCCTACAACTGGCAAATAGAAGTAGAATTAAAACAGTTCTACACTGTTTGTGTGTGTTTGTGTGTGTTTGTGTGTGTTTGTGTGTGTTTGTGTGTGTTTGTGTGTGTTTGTGTGTGTGTGTGTTTGTGTGTGTGTGTGTGTGTGTGTGTGTGTGTGTTTGTGTGTGTGTGTGTTTGTGTGTGTGACCAGTTCTTGCTCTGTCATGCAGGTTGGAGTACAATGGCATGATTACAGTTCATGGTAGCCTCGACCTCCTGAGCTCAGGTGATACGCCCAGTTCAGCCTCCCAACTAAAACTACAGGCGTATTCTACTATGCCCAGCCTTTCTCCCTCTCTTCCTCTCTCTTCCTCTCTCTTCCTCTCTCTTCCTCTCTCTCCCTCTCTCTCCCTCTCTCTCCCTCTCTCTCCCTCCCCCGCCCTCCCCCGCCCTCCCCCGCCCTCCCCCGCCCTCCCCCGCCCTCCCCCGCCCTCCCCCGGCCCTCCCCCGCCCTCCCCCGCCCTCCCCCTCCCCCTCTCTCCCACCTCAGCCTCCTGAGTAGCTGGGATTACAGGCATGTGCCACAAAGTCCAGCTCATTTTGTATTTTTGGTAGAGACAGGGATTCACCACGTTGGCCAGGCTGGTCTTGAACTCCTGACCTTAGGTGATCCACCTGCCTTGGCCCCCCAAAGTGTTGGGATTACAGGCATGAGCCACCACGCCCGGCCTTTGTCTTATTTTTTTATAGAGATGGATCTTTATGTTGCCTGGGCTGGTCTCAAACTCCAGAAAGCTTTTTTTCCTCACTGTCCACCTGCAGGTGTGTCCTTTGTTTCCCACTCTTCCATTTGCCATCTTGCCATCTTTCTTAATAAAACATAGGATACAGAAAACGTAAAACTGTATATTTCAAGTGAATGAAATTTGTTTTACTTCACTTGAAAACCAGATCTAAACTCATTAAATTGTTTTCTCTGCATCTCAGCCTCCAAGTTCTGTTCTAATAGTTACCTTTGAATTTCAGGGAAAGATCTCTGAATTATAAACATGATACTGTCAAAGTACTATTTAGAAAAGGATGGCAGTTCAGGGATAGTTTCTAACATCTTTATACGAAAGTCCTGGTGAAACTAAGGTAATGGCATCAGATATAAAATCTCACTTGTTCAAGTACATATTAATATACTTAATGAGGTTTTTGTAAGGCATAGAACCAAGCTTTATAGAGACACTTGGCCTTGCACCATAACATTTTCTATCCCTGCCCTATGTGTGCAAAAACTAATGAATTACTAGGTCTCATTTCTCTAACAGGAAGAAGAAATTTTGACAACAGTTCTCAGAACACTACTGCTAGTGTTTCTAGCAAAGGCCCCATGATTCTACTCCAAGCCACTAAGGACCCTCCAGAAAAGCTCCGTAAGTATCCAAGAGGGAGGAGATCAAACTAGTGAACTAAATTACTAATCAAAGCAACTTCCTCCTTTCTATCCCTCTTGTTCTAGTCAAAAGAAATTGACCTTCCTATAGCAGAAGACTGCTAGTCTTTGTCAGGACACAGAATCACTTGGTTTTAGCATACATTAACCTACCTTTCCATCCATCCTCCAGGTGTTCCTGTAGACTCGAAAGTTCTGTGGGTGGCAGGCCTTTCTGGGACCTTAATCCTTGGAGCCTTGTTAGTATCCTACTTGGCTGTCAAGAAACAGAAGAGTTGCCCAGACCAAATGTGTCAATAAAACCAGAGTGTATTCCCAGCCTGTGCTGAGCTTCTCATTTGAAAGGTAAAAGGTTAATTTCAGACTAGTTCATCTGTTCACATCACTTTATCTCTTAAGCTTGGTAGTATAACTCAACTGAGAATAGAATAGAAACTGATACAAAAATTTCAGACTTAGTAGAGGTCTTAGGTCAGAGAACGTGGAATAAAATTTTTCCATAAGATCAAGGAAACTAGGGTAGAACTAATTATGAATCTAGATCACTGGTTCTCAAACTTGAGTGTGCCTCAGGATCATGGGAGGGCTGGTAGAAACAGATGACTGTTCCCATTCTCGGTTTGAATTCAGTAGGCCTGGTCCCATTCTCAGAGTTTGATTCAGTAGGTGTGGACAAAGGTTTAAACTCACATTTCCAGCCATTTCCTAGATGATGCTGATCTTCCCTGGTCTGAGCACCAGACTTAAACCAATGTCTAGAACAGTGACTAAAGGTATCTGATCATAGATCCTCCAACTGGAGGTGGCTTGATCATCAGAGACTTAGTTTTGAGCCAGAACTGACAAGTAGTTTCCTAGTCTTAAGAACTAAGACTTTTTTTTTTTTAAAGGGGGTGGGTGGGGATACCATCACTGACTTCTCAAGGCAAACATCCTGTTTAAGGAACTTTCTTATAACTGATGCTGCTGCTCAGCCATACTCTGGGGTACTTCCTATTCTCACTGAAATTCTGAAACTAATCCTGGTTCTATCAACTTCACCTACTTATTTTTCAGGGAATAACTGCTAAATTGACCTTTCAGCAAGGTAAAGGTGTTACACTCCTGAACAGCTGCTTTGTAGTCAAGCCAACCCTACTTCAAATTGCTAAGCAGGATGTAAACCCTGACCTTACAGGGATACGTGTGTTTCACGCAACAAACTATCCTAGAAGCTTGATGTTAACATACTTGAGCCTCATGAAAATATCACATAGTATTCATTCATCCCCAGCGTCTAGAATCTGGGAAAGATACAAATCAAATAACTTGCCCAGGGTCACTTGAGCAACAAAAGATAGATTCCAGTTCAAGTTTTAACACTAACTTGCACCCTTAACTCCCCATGGTACTGAAACTCAGTTCCTCAGAAAGACTAGTTGCCAGCGGTAGGCACAGGTGCAGCTTGACAAAGGGTTGTCTCAGGCTTATGAAAAGATAATGGCTTGGGGAGATAATGGCTATGCTACATGCAAAGGTCTGTCTGTTGACCTGTAATGAAGTCAGACATTTAGAGAAGAATAGTCTCTGACTGCAGTGGGGTAGTGTTTTGGTGTCTAGGTTAAGCAACTCAAGTATACATGTAACTTACTTGGCAATCAGATGAAACTTAACCTACTACTGAATATCATATTCAAGGTTTTGCTTTCCTATTCAATCTCTTGAATATACTTATAACAAATTTTGAATGTTAAACATTAATTGGAAATACGATGTACTTCTAGATATTAGATTGTTGGGAAAACTTATACCCAACTGTTTTCCAATAGCTGAATAGTACCTGTTTTAAACTAAAATTCTACTAACCAAACTTCAAGTGCTCAACAGCTGCTGCTGGCAGGGAGCTATTCTAGCTAGTTGCTGTATGACTCAAATCTACTCCATTAAAATGTATATTGGCTATATAAGCAGCATAGTAGGCATTGGGAATAAAGCAATGAACAGGAAGGCTTCCTCAGCAACTCTGACAAATGTCAGATGATTCAAGGAAACAAAGTTGGGTAAATGGGAGAAGGGAATTGCTAAGTCTCATCTTTTTCTATGAGGAAATAGATACGGGCATAAGTTTTTAGCCTATCCCTCTAAAACAAAGCGAGTATATAGGGTCCTCTCAAGCAACTGACCTTGACAAGTCAGGAATCGGAGTTTCCAAAAGAGGAAAGCTTTAGCAGAACCTGGCATAAAGGCCACTCGCCCCTCTAAGAGGAGGGTAGTAATACCTGTACTAACCAACGGCTACTGCAGTTAACCAAAGAAAACCCTGATACTTAAGCCTCTACCTAGGACTTGCCAGATTCTCTCTAGCAGGGTTTCTGGGACTGTTTATATTAACATGGTATGCCTTCAAAGGGAGCAAAACCTATTTCCCATATTTTACCATGAAACTTCTTTTCAGAATAAGAGTAATTCTACAGAACCTATTTCTGCAGATTTAGTTTTCCTGGTTTTCAAACAATCTATTAGAAGTTAGTCTGATCAGAGAAAATATTGCAAGGAAAGACAAAAACATCTCTGAATAGTCTCTGGCCAAAATCTAGCTTGAAGTTGAGTTTCTACTCGAGAAAAGTCAGTTAGAACCATTAACTTATAGTTTAATATAGTCTCATAGCTAAACCAGAAACTTGATTATTCCCCTCAGAGGCCCCATTAAACCTCTTTTTGGAGGCATCTGTCTAATTTTAAATAGCCTCTATCAAGTAACTCACGAAAGACTGTTACCCCAAACTTATTCACTATCCTCCAAATGGGTTTAACTTTAGTTTCTCATTTCTAGTTAAACCGATAGTTCTTTCCCTCCTGACTAAATCGTTCTGATCAATCCAGGATAATGTAATTCATCCCTGTATCTTTTTTCCTAGAGAAAAATCACTTTATTCCTTACGTGCCTCTTGCTAACTGATCTTCCAGAAAAGTGTTCTACATGTAAGTGATATGGCAACATAGCCTCCTATTTTAATATGGCGGGGTAGCTTTCCACCGCACAGCTGTCAGCCTCAGCTTCCCCTGCCATGTCTTGCCTACATACTAGCTGTGTAACAGTTCTAGCTACCCTAAATTTCTTGAGGGTAGGCACCTATTTTTGGAAGCAAATTCTTCCATTAGCCTAATGTCAGCTCCTCATCATGCTTGTCTGTGAAACTCAGAAAGGGGGCCATATGTCTGTCTCCTCTTACCTCTCTAGTTTGACACTTGTGAGTCTATAACCACAGATCCTATTAGGTCAGATTCCCTCCTCCCCTGTGTTAGCCAGGGTGTTCCTGTTCATGTATGACTCACAAGAAGGTGGGACTTTCCAAGTCAATGAAGAGACAGGCTGTGGAATGAGAAACATCTGCAAGCCATATATCTAATAAGGGATTAATGTCAAAAATGTAACTCAATAAGGAACCCAAATAAAAATGGGCAAAGGACATGAGTAGACATCTCAAAGGATATACAAATGGCCAACAGACTAGTGATGCTAAACATTCTCATTTATTAGGGAAATGCAAATTAAAACCAATGAGCTCACCTCCTGCCCATCAGAATGGCTATTATCAAAAAGGAAAGAAGTATTGGTGAGGATATAGAGAAAAGGGAACCCTTGAACCCTGTAGATGGGAATGTAAATTAGTATAGCCATCACAGAAAATGTTATGGAGGTTCTTCCAAAAAATGGAACTACCCTCATGAGCCAGCAATTCCACTAGTGTGTATGTATCCAAAGGAAGTGAAATTGGTAGGTTGACGAGATATCTGCACTCCCATAGTCATTATTAGCACTATTGACAATAGCTGAGATACTAAATCAAAGTTTCCATCAATAGATGGATGAAAGTGGTATATGTATACAATGAACTACTATTCAGTCTTAAAGGAAATCTTGTCATTTGTGACATGAACTTAGAGGAAAATGTTAAAGTAAACCAGGTATAGAAAAGTACATGATCTCACTTAAACATGTAATCTTGAATTTACAGAAGCAGAGAGTAGAATGGTTGGTTACTTGTGGTTTGCAGAGGGTAAGATGGAAAGATGTTGCTCAAAGGCTGCAAACTCAGGAATAAGTTCAGGGGATCTTTTGTACACCATGGTGACTACAGATTGGGTTCTTATGAAATAAGTGAGGTAATTCATGTTAGTATGATTCAGCCATCCTACAATATATACACATCTCAAAATGTGCTATATACAATAGTGTTAAAGCCAATTAAATTCTATAGTATATAAACAAGATCGAGAGAAGTTGGAAGTCTGCTGGTCACCAACAACTTAGGAGTTGAATTCTTGAAGCATTAAGATTCTTTTTGTCACTTTCCAGGGAAATATTTATCTTGGCTTCTTGGAAGTCTAACCTGAGAACCTAAGGAAGCTGGCAGGTGACTGGAAACAGCATCTTGACTTTACCCTCCATGTATTGAAACATTTTATTGGATCCTTATTTTGGACAAAGTTCCCTTTTATATTAGGAAATGAAGTCAGTACTCTGGTCCAACAACCAACAACATGGAACTTGTTTACATGGTCTGGTAACAAGAATAATGGTAGGAAACCAGAAGTTGAAGCTGATGTTATAGCAGCCGTTTGGAAAGAAGCCTATTCTAACAATGTCACGTTCCCTGCCACTCCCATCTTCACTCAGAATATTCAGATCAGAAGAGCCAGATACAGACACAGAGATGTAATCTCTGTGAACTCAACTTTCTCACCTCTGAAATAGAAAACTATCAATTGTTTCTAGCTGTCTGGCTCTAAATTTTTGGTTCTTAGAACCTTCTTAATCCCCTTCAGTTTTTTTCCACGGGTCTTGATTTGCAGCTGTCCTTTGGAAACTCTACTCCCATGATTTCTTGCTCGGTTTTCATGCTGTGAACGGACAATATGCTTTTGTGTCTTACACCACAGCACGTTTCTGCCCTCTAAGGGCTAAATGTCAGCTACTGTTTAATAAAGGTTTGATTAAGCCTTACTGCAACATTTGCAAGCCAGAGGGAGCAGAGATTGGATAGCTGTGCCACTTAATTGCCTCTTTCTACATTTTCCAAGAAGTACTGCTTTTTAACCCTTGCTAATGTGAAAGACACTGTGGTAGACATTGCCACAGGGAAGCCACCTTCCCCGATACCTCCAAGTACCTTGGCCATGACAAGAAATGGCCAAATCAAGTGAAATTTCTCATTTCAAGCACAGTGGTTGGGAAGGATACTTCCATGAAGCTAGGCTGTTTTTGTTTTAAAGGTGGTGGAATAATAGGCTCCGATGATACTGGATAAAATAAGTTGTACCTGGCCGGATGCGGTGGCTCACGCCTGTAATCCCAGCACTTTGGGAGGCTGAAGCAGATGGATCACGAGGTCAGGAGCTCAAGAGCATCCTGGCCAACATGGTGAAACCCCGTCTCTACTAAAATACAAAAAAAATTAGCCAGGCATGGTGGCAGGCACCTGTAGTCCCTGCTACTTGGGAAGCTGAGACAGGGGAATCGCTTGAACCCAGGAGGCGGAGGTTGCAGTGAGCCGAGATCGTGCCACCGCACTCCAGCCTGCTGACAGAGCAAGACTCTGTCTCAAGGAAAAAAGTTATACCCACCAAATTGTCTTTTAATCTAAATATTAGAATAAGGGGCTGAATTATATTTATTCCATGTTTACCAATTGTTATGTGACTCATCGGTTAATTTATCTGGTCTTTGTTTTGTGACGCTAGAATACCTCAGACTAGGTTGTTTATAATGGACAGAATTTATAGAGTCCCAGTTGTGGAGGCTGGGAAGTCCTAAATCAAGATGTCAGCATCTGGTGAGGGCTGCCTTGCTGTGGAGACAGTAAGAAGTGGCCAAAGTTGCCCTTTTATAATGGTACCAACCCCACCCATGAGGGTGATGCTCTCATGGCCTAATGACCTCTTAATGGTCCTACCTCTTAATACTGTTACAATGGCTCTTTTGTTTTTTCTTTTCTTTTCTTTTCTTTTCTTTTCTTTTCTTTTCTTTTTTTTTTTTTTTGAGACAGCCTTGCTCTATCACACAGGCTGCAGTGTGGTGGCATGATCTCAGCTTACTGCAAACTTCGCCTCTCAGGTTCAAGCACTCCTCCCCCCTCAGCCTCTCAAGTAGCTGAGATTGCAAGTGTGTACCTCCACACTCAGCTAATTTTTGTATTTTTAGTACAGGTGGGATTTCATCATGTTGGCCAGGCTGGTCTGGAACTCCTGACCTCAGGTGATCTACCTGCCTCGGCCTCCCAAAGTGCTAGGATCACAGGTGTGAGCCACGGTGCCCGGCCCAGCCTGGCAATTAAATTTCAACAGGAGTTTTGGAAGGCACAAGCATTCAAACTGTTATATCCCCTCGTCAGTCTATAAGCAGTCCTCTCAGAACATTAAATTTATCTTATGTGTGTCAAAAACACCTAGAAGATTATTTTCAAAGAAAATAAGGGGGAAAAGTTTGGAAATGTTTATGGAAGGATACAAAATTTCAGCTACAAAGAATAAGTTAAAGAATTTTACAACATGGTGACTGTAGTTAATAACAATGTATTCTTGAAAATTGCTAAGAGTACATTGTGTTATCACTACAAAAAAATAAGAGGTAATGTATGTGTTAGCTAGCTCAACTTTGCTATTCCACAACATATACATCTCAAAACATTGGCAGGGTGCAGTGGCTCACGCCTGTAACCCCAGCACTTTGGGAGGCTGAGGCAGGTGGATCACTTGACGTCAGGAGTTTGAGACCAGCCTGGCCAACATGATGAAACTCCATCTCTACTAAAATAAACTTTTAGCTGGTCGTGGTGGTGCATGCCTGTAATCCCAGCTACTCGAGAGGCTGAGGCAGGAGAATCACTTGAACTCGAGGGGCAGAGGTTGCAGTGAGCCAAGATCATGCCACTGCACTCCAGCCTGGGTGACAGAGTGAGACTGTCAAAAACAAAAAATGGACATGATCAATACAAATACTTGTCAATTAAAATATGCTTTTAAAAATGTTAAAGCAGAAAAGATGTTTCCACTGGCCACCCTTCCCTCACAGAGGGGAGGCGAACGCCCCTGACGCAGTCCTGAGACAGGCAAGGTGGGATTGTTGAGAAAGCTGGTTTTGTTGCCAGTCACCTTCACGGAAGGCTCTGCTACCCAGACCTTATGAAGTCAGACTTTCCTCCTAAAAATGCTGCTGTCCTTGTTTAGGGCAAAGGGCCTGGCACAGAGCAGGAGCTCAGAACATTTGCTGAGTGAATCATAGCAAACCATGACATAATTTAACCCGATTTAAAGGAGTCTAGAAAGTTGCCAGAGAATGGCTGGATTTTAAGCAGTTCGTATTTGTTCCCTAATGTAGCAATATGTGACCAGAGAGGCCGCTTCGGGCCAGCAGGTTACCCATCTCTGTCAGTAACCTCTTTGCACCCTAGCTCCTGTGTCTCCAGGATGGGACCCTTGGCTCATAGAAATGAAAAGCTTTGTGATAACAAAAAATCACAAATCCAGTTGCAGCTATACTTAGCCTTTGTTTCTCATAATTTTTGAAATGGCTTTGAGATATAATTCACATTCCATACAATTCACCCATTGAAAGTATACAGTTCAGTGGTCTTTAGTATATTCATAGAGTTCTGCAACCATCACCACACCAAAAGACACCCTGTACCCATTATAAGTCACTTACTAGTCCCTCCTTTCTCCAGCCCACGGCAACCACTAATTCATCTCTATAAATTTGCCTGTTCTGGATGTTTCATATAAATGAAATTGACATGTAGCTTTTTGTGATTAGCTTCTTTTACTTAGCATGTTTTCAAGCTATATCCATGTTGCAGCAAAACTCAGCAATTCCTTTTTATGGTTGAATATCTACTTTTCCATTTTGTTTATCCATTTACAAGATGAAGGACAGTTGGGTTGTTCCCACCTACAGGTTGTTGGGAATCCTGCTGCTATGAACATTCATGTATAAGTTTTTGTGTGAACATATGTTTTTATTTCTCCTTGGTATGTACCTAAAAATAGATCTGGGCCATAAGGCAAGTCTATGTTTAACATTTTGAGGAACTTCATAACTGTTTTCCAAAGTGGCTCTGCCGTTTTCTATTCTCACCAGTAATATATGAGGGTTCCAATTTTTCTACATCCTTGCCAATACTTGTATCTGTCTTTTGTCTCATTGCAAATTAGTATTTATATACTATCTTTAAATATTAAAAAGGAATAAAGCCAATAAAAGGGCCCATAATTTTACCTACAAAAAAACTGCCAATGACCAAATTAGGAAAAAATCAAGCCATAGAAAAACATGAAAAGAAATCCCATTCCCCACTCCCAGTTCCTCTCCCCCAAGGTAACTGCTGCTCAATTTCTTGTATGTCCAGAAACAAGCTTCATGTGTGTTTACCCTTTAGTTTACACAAAAGTAACTCCATTCATATTCCCCTGCACAGAGATGTCACTGTTGGTTTTACACACACACACACACACACACACACACACACACACACACACACACACAGTATCTGTCTCTTGTTCAGGAAACCTGTAGCCTACAAAGAATAAGGACATGTTAGCTAAGGATGAAGAAGATGCCCTGCAGGAGTCCTGAGCAGTATATGTTCCTTTGTGTCCTCTCACAGGGCCTAGTAAAGTATATATGGGAAAACCACTTTTATAAAATGACTTTGTTTTGAACACAGTGGGAAGAAATAGTGTATGTCGGCCTTTTTGCAAAGCCCTATAGTAAACACTAGGGGATGGGGAGGGCTGAACTCGTGGTAAAGGGTGCTTTGAGGCCCTTGCATCATGCTGCATTTTGCCATTAGATCAGGCTCCAGGGTCTTGATCGTGCTCTGTGTGCTGTCTTCCCTGTCTCCTTCAAAAGGTTGCTTACCTGCAAGCATGCTGTTCCTGGCATTTGCTGTTGCCCAGGAAGCTACAGAGAGGTGATGGGAAGGTGCCTATGAATAAGTCCATTCATAATGAGGGCCAGGGAAGCAGCTCTCTGTCAAAGTCACAAATTCCATGAGTCAACCCTTTTTGCAATTACCATGCAGACAGTCTTAACACAATCTCTTTGAGTGACTTTTGTAAGATGACACCAAAGCCCTGAGACACCTCAGGGATGACTCAGTGCCCTTGACTCGGGGCCAGTCAACTTGATGTTCTGTGTTTCCTGTGATTAAGTCCTTTCCTTATTTCACCCCATTGCCTTTACATTGTAAGGTTTCCCAGATTGACATTTTAGGCCTTTTGTACAAAATTTAACCTCTGGTACCTCAGGAGTTGTCGTCTTTGGCCACAAAAGAAAAAATCTTGAAAACTTTAATAATTGAAATGTGGTAGCACAATGAGAGAACTTCCCCAGTGATGGTCTGATGAAAAAATATACCCGAAAATATTAATGGAAAAGTGCGCGGAGCACAAAGCCAGCGTTATTTAAATATTAGGATTGTGATAAATATTTATTTCATGTTAATGTACTGGGTAAAATGAAAAACAATGAGGTGCAGAATTAATCATGAGTCTAGCGTGGTGAGCTTATCTAAGCGAAAGGTTATTCTGTAAAACAGATGGTGTTAAAAGGAAAAGATTAATTTCTGCATTTTAACCCCTAAACTGTTGAGAAAGCATAAAATAATTACCGTTTTTTAGTATGTACACCATGCCAGACGCTCTTTAGGCAATTTCCATGGATTATTTTATGTGATGCTCATAAATAACCCACAAAGTAGGTAACATTACTATCCCACTTTTAAAAAATGAGATTTGAGGGTTTTTTTTTTTTTTAACATTGATGCTAGATAGAGGAACGTGGTTTTTATAAGAAACATTCAATAAATATTCCATACATAGTGAGTAAATGACTGTTATTGATGGACTATCCCAGTCCTGTGCAGGCTGACCTTGGCAACACCCCCAGTTCTACAAGTCTGAGAAATGACAGAGAAGCAATTTAAATCCCCGATTTTCCAGGACATCACATACATCTCCTCTCCAGATTTCATTTATCTGTTTGCTCTATGACTTCCTGCCTTCTACAGAGCCCAGGAACCTGAGGGCACTAGTAGATCCACTCAGGAATCCCAGTTTGGATTTGAGTTTTTCTGATTCTGTGCCCTTTCCATGGTAGCACCTGCCTCCATTCTTTTCCATTCTAGTAGCTCTCTTGATTTTCTCCACTTTGAGTTGGAAATGTCAAACACAGTGTTCCATTTAACTCCCTCGGCTTTGTATCTCTTTTTATAGGTCCTCGCACAGGATAGGTCCACAGGAGGAAGCTGGTGGCCTTGGCATCTCAGCACCCCTGGAAGCTCAGCAGGAGAGGTTTTGCCTTTCAGCCACTCTGTGGCCCAGTGTGCTTGGGTAACTGTCTCTGCCGCCTCATCTGTGTAAACTGGGATAGTCCAACAACCTGTGGGGTAAGTCACTAATGTGACATATTATTTTGACTTTTACCTTATTACAGTTCAGCTTCTACTAAGACTTTGGGAATTTGGATTTGAGCAATTTGTCTCAAAAATAGCTCTTCTGTCACATATCAGTCCCAAGCCAGACCTTCAAGACCCTCCACCAGCTGCCCTATAACTACCTTCATCTAACTGCTCCTTGTCTTTCCTGGCCCCTGAGTCTTCAGCTGCCCCCTTTAGGTTAGAACACCTGCCCCTAGATCCCAGCCATGTGGGTTATCCGGCCAATGGCCCCAGCAAGTTCCCTAGCAGCCAGCCAGCATCACCACCTAGACACATGCCAAGACAGTTGTTAAATGGAACACTGCATTTAGGTCACTAGCTGGGAACTTCATAGCCACTCCCTTCCCCACCTGGAGCACATGACTTCTCTCTTCCTGCAACCCCTTTTCAAAATGTACTCTTCCCATAAAGCTTCATAGTATACTTTGGGATATTGGAACAATCAAATTACATCAATACATAGAAAAGAATTGTGAGGTTTAAGTATGATACATTTAATGAGCTTAGCACAGTACTTGGCACACAAAGTGCAACCAACCAGAGTTCTCCATATTGTCATCCTCACTGGTGTTACCATCATTCTTATCACCAACGGATGCTTATTAAATACATACTTATTTGCCGTGCAGAACTTAAAGTTGTAACCCACAAAATGAGCAAAATTGATGAGCTATCTAGGACTGACCCCACCCCTCCTTTCTTGAAGAAGCATCGTTTAATCAGGTAGCCACTCCACCCCGTATATCTGTGTTCATAGGTGATGCTGACCCCACCCCAGTTCTGGGAGGAGGCCTCTTTTGTCTGAGAGGAATCCCATCCCTCTTATTACTAGCTGGTTCTGGAGTGAGTGCGTGAGTACCCCAGCTCTGAGGCTGGAGAATTCCTGCAGAGGGAATTTGGAAAAATCTCCTCACTCCTAAGAGCTATTAAGAATCTTCTCTCAGCTGGGGATGGTGGTTCACGCCTGTAATCCTAGCACTTTGGGGGACCAAGGTGGGCAGATCACTTGAGGTCAGGAGTTCTAAACCAGCCTGGCTAACATGGTGAAACCCCGTCTCTACTAAAAATACAAAAAAAATTAGCTGGGCATGGTTGCGGGCACCTGTGATCCCAGCTACTCGAGAGGCTGAGGCAGGAGAATCACTTGAACCTAGGAGGTGGAGGTTGCAGTGAGCTGAGATCACGCCATTGCACTTCAGCCTCAGCAACAAGAGTAAAATTTCACCTCAAAAAAAAAGTACTCTCTCTTCTGGCCTGAGTATGGGATAGACTTAGTGACTGGCTTCTAACTAACAAGCATGCTGCAAATAGTCGGGGGTTAATGCTGAGGCTAGATCAGAAAAAGCATATGGCTTCCATCTGGCACTCACTCATTCTCTCTTTTTACACCTGCCCCTGGGTCCCAGCCACATGCTGTAAAGTGGTCCCAGCTAGTCTTGTAGCAGCCAGACAGCATTACCACCTAGCTATGTAAGAGAACGTACCTAGACATATGAGAGAATGTACCTCTAATGAATCCAGGTCCCAGATACTTCGGGATAGAGATAAGCTGTTTCTACAGCATCCTGTCTGAATTCCCAATCTGCAGAACTTGTGATAGATGATAAACAATTATTGTTTTAAGCAACTAAGCTTGGGGGTACTTTGTTGCACAGCAGCAGATAACAAATGCACCAATATATCACAGACATCTCCACATTAACGATGTAAATCTGCATCATCATTAAATGGTGTGGCCAACTGACATTAGCCAATCTGGCCATGTATATGCCTTAAGTTCACTTTGGTAGAGATTGGTAGCTACAGAAAATTTTGAGATCATGAGAGTCAGCTATTCCCCTCACGAATGAAAACAAGGTCAAATTCACACACACACACGCACGCACACACACACAAAGAGAAAGGATCACAAAAATAGTCATGTCATCTATTTCATGAGCTGGGGGAAAGCCCAACTCTAGGTCTTTTGCCATCGTGCAGAAAAGCTTCACGTAGCCAATGCGGAATATCATAGAATTTGGTCAGTCTGGGCACCAGGAAAGCGAATCCAGACCCAACTGGAGTGCTGTCTAAAGGTGAACCTGAGTCTAAACTGGCCCCTGGATTTTGGGATGGAATCTCAAGTGTCATCATAGGCCACAGGCCTTGCTCCATTCTTATGTTCTTTTTCAGGCAAATATAGGGTTTCAAATAGTTCATTAGACCCAATCTTCAATATAACTGATTTTGCCAATAAAGACCATTCTTAACAATCACTCCAGCCATTAGCAAAGCCTCCACGTTTGATGAAGAGGTGGGAAAGAGGAGGATCTTGACAGTGGTCACACTGGGTGAGAGCTTCCTGATGACAATGTTAGCTGACCATTCCTACGGGTTTTAATTTCAAAGGGAGCCAATGGCTATACTTAGGAATAACTTAACACACCATATATGATGAAATATTTTAAAACAAATATAGATATCCTTACAAACAGCTACATGGCATTCCATTGTATGGCTATACCAGTCTTTATTGTGCTGTCTTCACTTGGTAAACATTTATATCATGGCCAGTCTTTACAGTATTATAAACAATGTAGGGATGAACACCCTTATACAGACACTTTTATGTACTGTACTTGTTATTCCTTGAGATAAATTCCTTCAAGTGAAATTGCTGGGTCAAATGACATGTATATTGCCCAGTTTCTCAAAATGTAATACAGCAGTATATGAGAGAGTTAGGTGAAGTTTTCAAAAGAAGCTGTACTTCAAAACTAAAGGCAAAGGAAACCGAAAGGAAGCCCCAAAGAGGAAAAGTGAAAAGATCATCATCCAAAAGACCACTAGTGTGGCTGAACAGCAGAATGGTGAACTGTGTTTGTGGTATCAGTTTGCAGTACCAGAAGAGACTGTCTCTGGCATGTACTGAAGGTGATTTCTCTTTGAAGAGGGAAGAGCAGGTTGGCTTTTATGCCTCACGGGGTCCATATTACACAGTAGAATCATACATAGATTTGGGGGAAAGCTATACATATTTATGAGGGGAGTCTTGTGTATGCACAATGGGTAAACACACATGTAACAGAGAGCTCAGTTTACTTTGGGGCAGGGTTTTAGATTAAAATGAGGTAGAATTTGGCTCTACATCAAAAGGTGAACTATAGAACACAAAGACACTTTGTGCGCTGTCTCTAGATCTGGCTGGAACTGACTTCAGGTCTGCAGTTGCTTATCAGGAAAGAATGTTTGCAAGATGGTCCTCTATCCAATCAGAGTTGTACGAGTCTGGATTGTAAAGCAGAGTTAGGAAGTGTCTGACAATTTTCCTGATAGCTCCTACTGTTAGGGAGTTTAGCAAAAGTGTGTTTTTTCTTGTAGCCATAGGAATTTAGGAAGTTGCCATGCCAGTCTAGCCCTGAGACCTCAACCTGTAGGTAACTTTCATTTCCTTAACCTCAGGATCTGTCTTCGTTAACAAAGGGTCATCTATTTTGGTGTCTCAGATCACAGAAGTCAAAGGGGTTTCAGACTCCCAATTTATTTATTTATTTTTTATTATTATACTTTAAGTTCTGGGGTACATGTGCACAACGTGCAGGTTTGTTAATAGGTATACATGGGCCATGTTGGTTTGCTGCACCCATCAACTCATCATTTACATTAGTTATTTCTCCTAATGCTATCCCTCCCCAAGCCTTCCACCCCTGACAGGCCCAGGTGTGTGATGTTCCCCTCCCTGTGTCCATGTGTTCTCATTGTTCAACTCCCACTTAAGAGTGAGAACATGCGGTGTTTGGGTTTCTGTTCCTGTGTTAGTTTGCTGAGAATGATGGTTTCCAGCTTCATCCATGTCCTTGCAAAGAACATAAACTCATCTTTTTCTACGGATGCATAGTATTCCATGGTGTATATGTGGCACATTTTCTTTATCCAGTCTATCATTGATGGGCATTTGGGTTGGTTCCAAGACTTTGCTATTGTGAACAGTGCTGCAGTAAACATGTGTGTGCATGTGTGGAAGACAGTGTGGCGACTCCTCAAGGATCTAGAATTAGAAATACTATTTGACCCAGCAATCCCATTACTGGGTATATACCCAAAGGATTATAAATCCCAATTTCTACATGTAAGTTGGTTTCCTTCCCTGGTTTCACTAGAATTCCCTGACACCCCACCCCTATCGCCCACCCAGTCCATCTCAGTTCCTGGAGGGACCAGGTATAGGGTCCTATGGCTAATTAGTGGAATCATTTAGAATTAGGGCTTTCCCTTTGAAAGCCCCACACTTCTATTATTTCCTCCCCTTTTGTCCTCAAGGAGGAGTGGGAATTAATATCAGGCTTTTCTCCATCCTTAGGTAAAGGGGCCAACACAGTTCCTTGAGGGGAAATTAGCACAACAGGAGAAGACACAAGCCCTGCACTCCCAGGACTAGACTCCCAGCCAAAGAGGGATGAGCCCCAATCAGTCAGGACTCCTGGGAAGAAAACAGTTTAGGTTCAGACAAGAACAATCCAGTTCCAAGTTTTCAATGGAGGAAAAAGATTATACCCCTAAATCACCAATTAAATCTTCTTTGCATGACTGAGATCCATTTACATAAATTTCCCCCCACTTTAAAACAAAGGAAGAACAAACTTCCAGCTAGGAAAGAACACACAGGATTTGAAAAGCCAGCCGTCTCAGGTTACCTCAAGGCAGGATCTGGTACAAAGGGATAAGAGTGAAATCCTTTAGCCCCAACTGTCTGAGTTCCTAGGGGGAAAATGCTTGTTTTATTCACTGTCCTATTTTAAACTGCTGGCCAACTACAACACTGGTTGAATTCATTTCCACTGAGAAAAGGAGAGAGAAGAATGCTGGTAGTGCCAAGCAGCTCCTAGACAGGATGGACAGATGGACAAGGACAGGACCAGAATGTTTTCTCATCTCTGCATCCTTAGTTTCCAGTGCAGGTCTGACTGGTGTCTCATAATCAATAGACATTTATCATTGAATGAATGAATGCTTGATAAGCCTCCATCATAGTACTTATCTTTAGCAGCAATTTACCCCAGGTCTTCCTCCCCACTAGACTACCAGCTACCTGATAGAAATGGTAGTCACAGTCTCTTCTGTGTCTCTTAGCAGAGCTCCTGATACAGCAGATGCTTCAGGAAGCTTTGCTTGATGAAAGAGTAGATGGCACAAGGAGAAAGTTCATCATCAGAGGTCCAGTTCCCAGTGGAGAGCAGGCAGCCTTTAATCAAAATTACATATAAATTGTTTCAGCATTCACACATACTGTAAGAAGCCCTCCCCCTGCCACTACCAGCCCCCCAGCAAAGAGGAAGGTAAGCAGCCTCCTTAAGGCTGATGCCATCTTCAAAACTCAGGAGTGGACTCAAGTCACCTCCTGACTTATTAGACAGGTCCAGGCCCAGATGAGTGAACAAATGAACAAATACATCTTAATAGCAATCATGAAGGGAAAAGATTCTATGCTAAAGGAAAACTCATTGAAGAGCTCATATTGGGCCTGACTCATGAAGGTTATCCATTTGAATGCAGGTTTGTTTATTATTCAACTTTCTACTGGTTTTGGGGACAGGTGGAAAATTGTTAACTCTAAATTGTAAACTCTTTTGGGCCAAAGACATAAATTTCATCATTCGTTTTGTAAAATGCTGGTGCCTTAATACATCAAAGTACTTATCTAATATATTCCCCTAGTGATCTGCAATTGTCTGCTAGGTAGGGCCTGTCAGAAATCACATAATTTATTTATGTATTCATGTCATAGGAAAGAGAGGTAGGAAATACTTTTATTAAACATGTACTAGATGTTAAGCATTGTACTTGGTGCTTCGTGTACAACATTTATTTATTGCTTAAAATAACCTATGAAGTAAGAATTACATATTCCCATTTCACAGAAAACAGACTCAAGGAGACTAAGGAGCTTACACAAAGCTCCTAGGTTACTAGCGTCAAGGCTAGAGTTACAGCCATTTATTTCTGATTTCAAATGCTCTATCCTTTAGTCAATTTATAGTAGCAAAAGGTGGAGGGAACTGAAATAATTGTCCAAACATAGAGAAATCATTAAACTAGAGTATATTTGGTTAGTCAAATATATTATGACCATTTTTTGCTTATCTTTATGAAGACTGTACTATGAAAATATTCTCATAAGATAGTCTTAAGTGACAAACTCTGGATAGAAAATGACAAAATAATTACAGTTGAATTAAAATCAAACATATCATCAAAGGCACATAAAACCTGCACAGAGGGGAAAAAAGACTGGAAGGAAATATACAAGTAATAGGGTAAAGTTTTTTTGCTACTTTAATTCAAAAATTCTTTTATTAGTGTACATTTTTACACTTGGAAATCACAATGCTATATGGAAAAAACAGTGCATTAAATTCTACCATTAAAACAATTATATCATTAAAATTATTCTATTACAATCTCAACTAAGAAAAAAACCACTATTATAAAATTGCAACCTCACTCAAAAATGTGTCCATGGCCAGGCATGGTAGCTCATGCCTGTAATTCGAGCATTTTGGGAGGCTGAGGTGGGTGGATCACTTGAGGTCAGGAGTTTGAGACCAGCCTGGCCAACATGGTGAAACCCCATCTCTACTAAAAATACAAAAATTAGCCGGGCATGGTGGCGGGTGCCTGTAATCCCAGCTACTCGGGAGGCTGAGGCAGGAGAATCACTTGAACCCAGGAGATGGAGGTTGCAGTGAACCGAGATCATGCCATTGCACTCCACCCTGGGTGACAGAGCAAGACTCCATCTCAAAAAGAGTATCAATTAAAAAACCAAAAATGCCACGAACTGTGTTAGACCAAGGTTGACTTGGCCTGACCCTCTTCTGCAGATGTCTCCAGTCTTGGTTAGTGGCACTAACACCTCCTGTCCCTATTCCCCAGACACCAGCTCTCTGGAGATTCTTACAGCTTTTCTTGGTATTCTCTGAATCCTTAACACTTAATATAGTGTCAAGTACATAGGCGGTGAGTTTTAACTTGAGGAGGCTCAAAAATAATATTATTAGGATTTCGTCCCAGAATTAAATGTGCTCACACAATCCTGGACAGAGATGGAAAACTGCAGGCCCCCTTTACAAAGGCCTGTGCAACTCAGCTCAAGAGTGTTGGAGGCAGGAACAGAGGCCTCTGGCAGAGATGAGCTCTGCAGAGGGGAAGGAACTGGCCCCCGGGCTCTGTCCCCTCTCTCTAACTCACTCATCTGGTAAGCCTCTCCTTTTCCCCAGACAGCAGGAGATGGGGAGAGGACCAGGAGTGTGGCCCCAAAAGAAGTGCATCAGAGGTGGAAACATGGGCCAGCGACTGGTGCCCAGCCTCCTGTGGGAGGCAGGGGAGGGAGGGGAAGCTTTCCACCTGAAGTAGCACTGGCTGGCACACAAGCTGTACCGTGCTTAAAGCAGTATTGGAGAACAGGAAGAGGTCGGGATGTGGGAAGTGGCCCCAGGTTGTCAGAGACTCAGAGGAACTCACAGAGAGCTGTCTGTGTGACACATTTATTTTTGATCCAGCCCTTGGGTTCATGGTTCCTGTCTGAACCTTATGGCTGGAAGCAGAAACCAAGGAGCAGCTTTCACCAGGCACTCCACACGCGCAGGGCCCGGCCGTGTCACTTGAACGCTCTGATGACAAATCCACGTGGCTTTGGTTAATTGGGAACCGCGCGGAGGCCAGCTCCGCTTTGGCAAATGGCCAGTACACAGTGGCCTTGGCCCGGAGGTCAGCGCTCTCCCGGACACGTGCGCAGGTCAGGCAGTGGTGAGGCAGCGCCCCCACGTGGCGCTTGGAGGCAGAGCATCTGGGGAAGCTCTCCTCGATACCCTGCAGGAGACACGCCATGGCCCCCCAGAAATATTTGGGTGGGAGGATATTTTGCAGAAAACAGAGACCCTGAATTATTCACTTAGGGGCAAACACCTGTAAAATGTGGATTTTAACTATTAACGAAACCCCATTAGGTTAGTAAGCCCTGTTAAAAAGTTAGATTCATCTTAAAACTGAGGTATCCATCCACTACTGTATTTTATTTTTCTCTCAAAAACTACAGTGACAGATTTTTTTGTTTCATTTTGGTTTTTCTAACAAACTTTCAGAAAGCAAATTAATACTTGAAAATTTCTCAGAAACCAGCTCTGTGACTTTAGACAGCAACATTTCAAAATAGCTTCCATCTCATCTTTAAAATGATGAGATTAAACTCCATGATTCCTAATTTCCTTCCAGCTCAAAAATATATTGACTTCTAGGGTGCATAACATGCTTTTCTTTATAATTTATATTACAATATCATAATTTCATTAAAAGTGGTCTAGATGACAGGAAAGAGAGTTCCACTCATTCTGGCTTATGCTAAGGGAGCGCATTTCCAGGAAATAAATAAGAGAATCTTGTGAGCGGCCATAAACACATGCTGAAATACAGCCAAGCCCCAAAGAGAAAACCCAAGGCTGCTTCCTGCCTCTTTCTCATGGGCCGTGAGGGTCCCTCACAGCTTCTGCTCTTGTGAGCACGTCTGACCCCATTCTCCCCGATCTGCAGCAGCCAGCTCTCCCTTTTAACACATACCAGGACTCCTGTTTTCTCATAGCCCCAGTTTGCAGGTGGCCCATAGTTACCACCGGGGCCCTGAGTCTGTGTAATGAAGTAAGCTCAGCTCCCATAGCCAATCCCCTCTCAATTTCCCAGTTCCAAAATCCAAAGAGAGAAATATGATTGGTGTAGCTCACCTATGGAGTCAGGTTTCACAGTATAGATCATTAGCAGCCTGTGATTGGCTGTCCTGGGGGCCGGTAACTGCCTGTGGTCCAATCAGGTGGGAGGGTAAGGTCATGTAACACAAAACATGGCCACTTAATTGTGGGTGGGGCACATTCTGTTAGTAAGGGTTAACATTAGACTGTAAAGACCTGTGCTGTCAAATAAGACAGTCACTAGCCATGTGTAGAATTTGAATTCATATTAATTGGAATAAAATTTAAAAATCAGTTCTAGTTTACACTAGCCACACTTCCTGCTCAGTAGCTATATGTGTGTCTAGTAGCTACTACATTAAGAACGTTCCCATCACTGGAGAAAGTTCTGGTGGACATCACTGACCTCTAGACAATAGAGCTATCTAGGGGAGTTATTTAATGTAGAAGATGATGATAACAGAGAATTATTTTACTATCTTGTTTTCTATCTTGGTGTCACAACTTAGATTCTTAGAGTCCTTGGAGAAGAATAAGAGGCAAAGCAGATGTAATTTTTCTCATGTACTAGATGCTTATTGAGTGTCCTAAGGCAGCCATAGGGACATTCTATCAGCTATCACTTTCTCAAACTGCGGCCTGGGTCACTGACTCTGGATCGGCAAGATCTGCAGAAACACAATGGGAAAAATTAGAATATACATTTTTTAAATTCATGTGACCCTTTCACATAAGGCACAAATAGAGTTAAAGCTGTGGGATTTGGTACCTGTTCAAACGGGGGTTTCATTGTCTCCTCCACTAAGGTGACTCTCAAAAAGTAGTCTTGAAATAGGAATGGTATAGGTGCTGGAGGCACAGTATTCAGTCACAGCAGAATAAGAAAAGCAGTACATAGGTCAGGGCCCTATTGCCTCTAATGTCCTTGCTCTTATTTTTTGGCCAAAGCGTAACCGGGGTACCATTCACTGAGTCCTGAAGTGGTAGGGGTGATGGTGATATACCTCACTAGCTGGTTCCTATGGAGTGACTTTGCTCTGTGACCTGCTTCTTCATCCTCAGGCCTGCTTTGGCTGCTGTCTGTTTACCAGCCTGGCTCTCCAGCCTCATGTCTTTCCCAGGAACCCCTGTACATAGAGAAGACAGTTTCCCCTCAGAAGAACTAAAAAAATCACATGAGCCTGGACCTGCTAGGGGCTATCACTACACTATTTAAAGACAACCTGATAGAAGTGCATCGAATTGAGGCACGACAGAGAAAGAGGGGAGGAGGGAGACGGAGGGAGAGAAGGAGGAAGTAGTGAGTAGAGAGATGCATTACAGTGACTTCATTTGTACTCTTGGATTCAGCGATGCCGGAAGTGGCACCTAGGACTTCCAGGTTACGTCAGCCAGTACACTTCCTTTTACTCGAAGGGAGTCTGAGCTAGGTTTCACTTGCAGCCAAGGGAATCTTCATTTCTTCACATCCTGAAACCAGCTAATGACAGCAGCAAGGAAAATGAACTAATAATTTATACTAAGTTATAAATTACTCATGACTTAATATTTCCTACTCCACGATTAATTCAGGTTTTGGAAAGCACTCTGAAGACTCAATGCCCCTCTTTCTATAATGCTCTCTCTGTAATATTTTGAAGGCTATTTCTCCCTTTATTTCTCTTTCAATAGAGTTTAATTTTTAGAGAAGTTTTAGGTTTACAAAAAGGATGAGCAGAAAGTACAGAGTTTCCATATACTCCTCCTCCTCTCCCTGCTCTCCAGTTTCCCATAGCATTAACATCTTGCATTGCTGTGGTACATGTGCTACAATTGGAACATTATTGATATATTTTTATTAACTAAAGTTTATGGTTTCCATTGGGGTTCACTCTTTGTGTTGTAATTTCTATGGGTTTTGACAAATGAATATTGTCATATATCCATTACAGTATCATACAGAAAAGTCGTTCTGCCCTAAAAATTGCTTGTCCTCTGCTATTCATCTCCTCCCACACACCCCTAATCCCTGACAACCACCGATCTTTTTTACTGTCTCTATCTATAGTTTTGCCTTTCCTAGAATGGCATATGTTAGAATCATACAGTATATAGCCTTTTCAGATTGGCTCCTTTCACTTCGGAATATGCATTTAAGTTTCCTTCATGTCTTTTCGTGGTTTGATTATTCATTTCTTTGAATTGCTGAATAAGGTTCCATTCCCTGGATGTACCACGGTTTGTTTATCCATTCACCTACTGAAGGACATCTTGGTTGTTTCAATATGATGCAATTATGAATAAAGCTATAGATTGGATGACCTCTTTCTGTTATGCCCTGTATGCCCTGCCTGTCCTATTTCGAAAGCTGTTTTTCGTTTTCCGAGAGTCACTCAGATGTCATCTGCCTAAGGAAGGCTTCTCATCTCCTCCAGAAGGTGTTCTTCGCACCTTGCTGTCTTCCTTCCCTGTAAGAGCACTTCTTACATGTTCTGTAATCGCATTATCACATGGTTGTGTGGTTTCTTTGTGTCTGTTCCCCACCAGAGTGAATTCTTTCAGAATGTCTTACCTCTAGTGAGTTACTTAACCTCCTTTTGCCTCAGTTTCCTTGTCTGTAAAATGAAGATAATTTTTATTGTGAGAATTAAAGAAGTATATTTATATACACACATACCCCATCTAGCATAAATGTATATATTCTAAATATATATGTATATTTAGGATAGTACCTGGCACACAGTATACACTATATACATATTATTCTTTTTATTGCTATTAATATTAATCTTTGTACCCATAGCAACCAGCATGTAGATGCCACTTAGTAAATACATTTTGGGCCTGGTGCGGTGCCTCACGCCTGTAATCTCAGCACTTTGGGAGGCCCAGGCAGGTGGATTGCCTGAGCTCAGGAGTTCGTGACCAGCCTGGGCAACACAGTGAAACCCCATCTCTACTAAAATACAAAAAATTAGCCAGGTGTGGCGGCGCGCACCTGTAATCCCAGCTACTACGGAGGTTGAAGCAGGAGAATTGCTTGAACCTGGGAGGTAGAGGTTGCAGCAAGCCGAACTCGTGCCACTGCACTCCAGCCTAGGCAAGAGAGCATGACTCTGTCTCAAAAACAAAAAATAAAAATAAATAAATATAAATAAATACATACATACATAAATACATTTTGAACCAATAGTTTCCTTGTGGATGTTGGTTGATACCTGACTAGATGTGATTTATAATTTAAAATCATAATAACTATGCCAGAAGATCAATACCTATTATCGTAGGGGTTTTTCTCATGCGATTACTCAGCAATTTTAATGAAACCTGTAGACTCAGGGTTAAGCTGCCTTCTGTGAGGAGGGCATGACCAGAGCTAATGAGGCCTGGAAGAAAGAAAGAACTGGGGCATTTGCCACTTTCAGATCCAGAAGCTTTACAGATCCAGAAGCTTCACTTCCCATTCCTCTGTCTTAATTCATTTCTATAGAATTGACACAAACTCAAAACAAACTCCAAAGGCTCTGGTGAGTAAACTAGAATATGGCAACTCTAATTTCCCATGAAGTCTGTAATTGGCAATGGGAGGGGGATGCTTAAATAACCCTGACCAGTACATTTATTTTCTATTTGTAGGAAAACTCGATATAATAATCATACTTCTATCTGTGGGCTTAACCCATTTCCTGGTTAGAGGAAAAACGAGTGAAGCTCGCTGCCCGAGCAGTATTTCCGAGGCAAATGGGAAATGTGTTAAAGAGCTCTTACCAAATTTGTATACAACATGTGCCATTTGTGTAAGGCATCTGGAAGATATGAGAGCTTCCTTTACCTTCTTCCCTTTCAGCAATGAATCATGACAGTTGAGCCCTTGTCAGTGTCTGCACCCAAGACTCAAAGTGAAACATGGAAACATGTCTGAGTTCAACTAATCTAACCACCTCACATTTTTGATATGGTAAAATGGAGATGCTTACTTTTCTTTAAAAAATTATTTTTATTTATTCTAAAAAACAAAAACAGGATACATGTGCAGAGTGTGCAGGTGTGTTACACAGGTATATGTGTGCCATGGTGGTTTGCTGCACCTGTTGACCCGTCCTCTCAGTTCCGTCCCCTCACCCCCAATCCTGCAACAGGCCCTGGTGTGTGTTGTTCCCTCTCTGTGGACATGTGTGGAGATACCTACTTCTAAAGGCCACTGTGTATTAAATGAGGAAGGTATTTGAAGCACAGGAAGACAGAGAGAGCCTGTCATAACTTCACTGCCCACATCATTTGCTGGAGCAAGAAGGCCCTAGGATGCAAATTCAGCTCTTCCTGTTGAGTATCGACTCCCAAATCCAGCTGGATTTCCTAACGTGCCCTAAGGCTTAGGCATAACCAGCTTTTCAAAAGTTGAGTCAAAGATGAAAATTTTTTGAAAATGAATATTCCTTTGGGCAACAGCTGTACCCGGGATTTAATTACTTTATAAATGAGCTTTGATCTCACAGTTTTGTGGCAGTCTTTCCACCACAACCACCCCCAACCCACCGTTCTGCAGACTATGCCTAATTATCTTATCTTGCTAAGTCATTAAATATGCATTTGTTAAAGCCACTTTCCTCCTCCTTTCTCACTACCCCAGGAGATTTTATCATAATTACTGATTTAGTTTCTTTCATTAGATGATGATTAGTTTGTGAATCTTTTGTTTTGCTGACATGTCTGTGTAGCTGGGTGGCCCTGGGAATTCTTGTGCCTGGATACCTGTTGTGGCCGCCTTCCATTTTCCTTCCAAAGGAGAAAGATAGTTGGTAGTAAGAGAGGTCCAAGCTATCCAGTTGGTTTAATTGAGCAGTTGCTGAACTGGTTAAACAATTAGTGTCTTAGCCTAGATTCCCCTGAGAACAGAGACTGGCACAAAGACTTGTGAGCAGGTAGTTTGCACGTCAATATGTAATGCAAATGTTTGCATGTCACCCAGGGAGTGGAGTGAGGGACCAGTGGGAGGGAAACAGGAGAGAGAGGTACTGCAAGGGCATGTTGCCAGGGCAGCTAGAGCTCCAACGGACAGGGGCTCCATCCCATGGAACTTTCTTTTACTTCCCCCCCAACCCAACTTTACTGAGGTATAGCTGACTCAAAAAAGCATATATATGTAAGGTGTACAAAGTGATGATTTGATATGGATACACATCGTGAAATGATTACCACAAGCTAATAAGCATATCTGTTACCTCACATAGCTAGCTACCTTAAGATCTACTCTCTTAGTAAATTTGAAGCATACAGTACAATGTTTTGAATTATAGGCATGTTAAACTAAATTTGGCCTTCATATTTTGAGTCTCTACATAACGGACTGCAACCTAACTTAGTACCTGCATGAGTCTGTTCTCACATTGCCATAAAGAACTACCCGTGACTGGGTAATTCATGAAGAAAAGAGGTGTAATGGATTCACAGTGCTGCAGGCTGTACAGGGAACATGGCTGGGAGGCCTTGGGAAATTTACAATCATGGCAGAAGGCGAAGGGGAAGCGAGCACATCCTCACATGTTGGAGGGGGAGGAAGAGAGCGAAAGGGGAAGGGCTACATACTTTCAAACAACCAGATCTCAAGAGAACTCACTATTATGAGAACAGCAAGGGGAAAACTGCACCCATGATCCAATCATCTCCCACCAGTTCCCTCCCCCAACATGAAGGGTTAAAATTTAACATGAGATTTGGGTGGAAACACAGAGTCAAACCATATCAGAACCTAAACTCACTGAAAGCCTGACTTAGGAGTATACTTTTGTAACAAGTAGCTGAATCTCAGCCAATCACAGCAGCTGAGCTTAGTCAATCAATCATAGGCAGCTAACCGATCGGACTATGTGGAAATAAGGTAAACGCTGGGCTGGAACCAATCGAGCTGTCTCGGGACCTCACTTCCGTTTTCTGTCCAGAAATGCTGCGTGCCCACATTGAGCAGCTGAATCCTCTGAACCTGTGTTCTGGTTCTGAGGGCTGCCCAATTCTTGAATTGTCCTTTGTTCAATTAAACTCTGTTAAATTTAATGTGTTTGAAGTTGTTTTTTTTTTTAAGTTATGCTGTATTTTAGATAACCAGAAGTCATTCATCTTATTAACTGAAAGTGTGTGCCCTTTGACCAACATCTCCCATGCCATTTTCTGAGAAGCCTTTCTGTATGCTCTGAGCCGTCCTTCCAGGGGAAAACAAGGGCAGAATTTACTCATTGGCTCTGGTCCCCCATCCGTCAAGCATGGCTGCGTAGCATAAGACTCTTCAGATTGTAGGTGTCTGTGCTCCAAGGGGGTCACCTCCAGCATCTCATACTGCAGCATCAGAGAAGCCCAGGGCATAAAACAAGAGATACATGGTGCAGGCCAGGCAAGCTGGTAGACGCTTGCATAGAAATACAGTCATGTGCTACATAACAACTGCTTCAGTCAACAAAACATGTATGATGGTGGTCCCATAAGATTTTCATAGAGCTGGAAACTTCCTATTGCTTAGTGACATCTTGATGATCCTGACGCTCTTTAGGCCTAGGCTAATGTGTGTGTGAGTGTCTTACTTTTTAACAAAAAAGTTTAAAAGTAAACTAACATATAAAAACTTTTAAAAATAGTGTGAAAGTTGATCCTATATGAATAGGGTCATTCTTGTCATACCCAACTATATCAGAGTTGAGGAACTAGGAGGAAAAACCACTCAGGATACATAATGTTGCTCTAGAAATGTTATTCTCTGCAAGGAAACTGCCTGTTGTAACCCAAAACCAGTTTCATCTACAGGTGCTGAGATAACTTGCTGCAGCTGTAGGACTAATTTTGCCCACTGCCATTGCCCATCCATCGGAGCTTGCCAAAACCTTACTAATATCAGTGAACTTTTTCTCAGGACCACACAAAACATCCCTCTTTTTTTCTTTATAAAACCCCCAACCTTCTCTTTGTTCTTCAGACATACTGAAGGTTACCCGGATGAGGATATGTCTTGAACTTCTTTTTTTTTTTTAAAGAGACAGGGTCTCACTCCATTGCTCAGGCTGGAGTGCAGCAGTGAGATAGATCATGGCTCACTCACTGCAGCCTCAAACTCCTGGGCTCAAGCTATCCTCCTGCCTCAGCCTCCTGAGTAGTAGGATTACAGGCCATGCCACCATGCCTGGCTTATTTTTTATTTTTATGTTTGTAGAGATAGTTCTTGCTGTGTTGCCCAGGTTGGTCTTCAGCTCCTGGCCTCAAGCGATCCTCCCACTTGAGCCTCCCAAAGCACTGAGATTACAGGCATCGGCCACTCTGCCCGGCTCCTGAATTGCAATTCTTTCCTCCAAAATAAAATTTTAAATTTAGAGATTTATCTCTACATTTTTATTTTGATGTCAGCAGCAATAGAAAAAAGCTTATAGAATAAGGACATAAATAAAGTATTTTTATATGGCTATACAATGTGTGTTTTAAGCCAAGAGTTACTACTAAAGAGTCAAAACCTTAAAAATTCAAGTTTATGTGGTAAAACAGTTTCAGTGAGCTAAGGTTAATTTATTTAAGAAAAATATTGTTCACGAATTTAGTGTAGCCTAAGTATACAGTTGTCAAAAAATGTGAATCCGAAAGAGCCAATCCTTCAAATGCATCCCAAGTGGCTAACTGATCCTAAATTAAAAATAGAGCTAAGTGGTCATTTGTTAACTAGGGATCACACAGGTACTGAGTTCCCTGAAAACCTGCACCTTTTTGTTATTAAGACTGTCAGCGTTCACCTAAATCAACCAATCACAGCTCACCTACCTTGGCCAATCAGGACTCAGCTGTATCACCCAATTAGGATTCAGCTGTATTGACCAATCAAAACGAAGCAAGTTTCAAGTCTTCATTGCATACATGGACCTGATTGGAAGCCCAGGTGGGAACTTTTGTTATAAAACCAGGGCCTTGTTTTTTTTTTTTTTTCCTCTGGAACACCCCTTCGTTTTACACTTAAGGCTGCAAACTCTTCGCTGGAATAGTTTCTTTTCTCCATGTTTTTTTTCAGGGAACTTGAGTTCACAGTGTTTACAAAGTCTTCAGTAGTGTATAGCAATATCCCAGGCCTTCAAATTCACTCACCACTCCTCACTGACTCACCCAGAGCAACTTCCAGTTCTGTAAACTCCATTCATGGTAAGTGTCCTAGACAGATGTACCGTTTTCTATCTTTTGTAATGTATGTATTTTTTTACTATACCTTTTCTATGTTTAGATATACAAATACCATTGTGTTACAGTTGCTTACGGCGTTTGGTATAGTAACATGGGGCACAGGTTTGTAGCCTAGGAGCTAAATGGCTATACGCCTAACCGAGGCGTGCTGTAAGCTACAGCATCTGCGTTTGTTTGCACGGTGGTGAAATCGCCTAAGGACTCATTTCTCAGAACGTATTAAGTTATGGATGACTGCATAGCGATTAGAACAGGGCACTGGAAATGCAATCGACACATATACTATGAGCCCTTTTTATTTTCTATTATTTCACAAGTGGCGCAACCCTTTCTTAGGTCTTCTATCTGATCTACTCGTTTCCAGCTGAAGTTTAGAAAGATAACAAGTGATTCCCCACAGTGTTTAATGCTACTCTGGGTGTTATCAATGATTTCAAAGAACATTGAAAAATTTTCCAAAATCATTTGAACCTGCTTTCTCAAGTATGTGGCACACATTTGAACCATTAAGAGGAGTCATCAGTTGGGGAGGAATGTATGTCTTATTAAGGCTAACAGTGGTGAGATGTCCCTCTCATAAAGCATTAGGAAAGTTTGCTTAAACCACGATACGCATTTTGCCACGGTTCCATGGAAGCAAGTGACTGTCTGAAACTTCAGCCATTGACTCTGAATGCCCTTCACAGTGGGAAGCTGGATGATTTCAAAACCTGGGTGATGGAGGTAGTGAAGGAATGCTTTCTACAAAACAGAATGTTGGCCGGGGTGTGTGGCTCACGCCTGTAATCTTAGCACTTTGGGAGGCCAAGGCAGGCAAATCAGTTGAGGTCAGGAGTTCGAGACCAGCCTGGCCAACATGGTGAAACCCCGTCTCTACTAAAAATTAGCTGGGTGTGATGGCTCCCAGCTACTCGGGAGGCCGAGGCAAGATAATCACTTGAATCTGGGAGGCGGAGGTTGCAGTGGGCTGAGATCGTGCCACTGCACTCCAGCCCGGACGACAAGGCAAGACTCTATCGCAAACAAACAAACAAACCGGAATGTATTTGGGAGAATAATTTCCTTCGGCAATGTAGGAAATTATTGCAGCCTTCTGAAGTGGCTTGAATGTGATTCAACCGAGCATTTTCAAATCTTTTCAGTGTAACAAAAGTAATTTAGGTCTACATTTAAATGTGAGAAGTCCTAGAGGGCAGGCAGTTGATTTATATACTTATCACATTGTGGCTAATCATGTACTTGAAAAGCAAGAGAAAATTACATGAAGTAAGACATGCAAGTATGTAAAGGCCAGGGTGTCTTCAGAAATCAATTACTTGACTCTGGTTAAAAATCACACCGATGCTAACACAGGAGAAGGTTCATATTCAGATGTAGAGAAAACATGACCTTCACAATCTGAGCTAACAAAAGAGCACTGTGTATTGACCTGAGGCAAAACAATCCTCTAGCCTGGAAGAAATAGGAGCTAGTAACCTAATAAACTATAGGCACATGGTTGTAGTTCCATCAGCTGTGATTTCTCTACCCCTGAGGATGTTTTTAGGAAGAGTGCAACATATTAGGACAATGTCGTGGGGGTATGAGCTTCAAATGATTCAGTCTAAAGCCATAAAAAAAGTTCAAATGTATTGCAATTTCTGGAGGAGGATAAGCTTTATAGTATCTCTCTATGCTGTTTCTATTATAAGACAATGACAGCTTGGTTGAAGTTGATATTCTAGATAATGCTGTGTGGTGTTGGTGGGGGTGTGAGAAAGGCAGGAGGTTCTTCACTGAATGGATGTTTCAGTGAGGCAGGTGGCATGCATTGAAGACACAAGGTTGGTGGTAGGACAGAAATTAGAAAGGAACATTTGTGAGACTAATGCTGTTTAAATAGTACAAGAAGCGAAGACAGAAGGTAAAGTGTTGATGGAGGATAGCCAAGGTCAAAGCATTAAGAAACAATGGCAATTCAGAAAGTTTACTTTAGAGGCTGGAAGCAATATATTGACAAGAAGGTTATGCTAAAAGGACATTTGTATGAATGAGGGATGTAACTGCAAGCTGTGGATATATTTGGCTGCAACTCAATAAAAATGATTATGGATAAGAAAAGAAAGACATTTTATTCCCTGATCCAATAGTGACTCAAGTTTAACACTGGCAGCTCTGGAGTTGAAGATGTGGCAAAAAGTTTAGGATGAGCCTGACAGAAACAAGAAAAAGATGCAGGGAGGGAAGGTCCTTTGGGATGTATCTAAAAAGAAAAGCAGCCTACCAACACTTTTATTTATTATTATTTTTTGAGATAGAGTCTTGCTGTGTTACCCAGGCTGGAGTGCAGTGGCATGATCTTGGCTCATTGCAACCTCTGTCTCCGAGGTTCAAGCAATTCTCTTGCCTCAGCCTCTTGAGTAACTGGGATTACAGTTGCCTGCCACCACGTCGAGCTAATTTTTTGTATTTTTAGTAGAGATGGGGTTTCACCATATTGGCCAGGCTGGTCTCGAACCCCAACCTCAGGTGATCCACCTGCCTTGGCCTCCCAAAGTGCTGGGATTACAGGCATGAGCCACAGCTAACATATTTAAACTGTGATCCATTTCCTTCTTTACATTCTCATAAGGGACATTTTAAAAATAATTGCTTCATAATTGATTTGGGTACATTAGGTGGAAGACATGCAAATAATATGGAAGAGAAATTCCAGTTAAGGAACAAAAGAGAAGCTTTTAGAGGTTATCGGTTTCCAGGAAGCAAGTAAAATGATAAATGAATAGAAAAGACCATAAACTTCCTGTGCCAAAGGAAAGCGTCATCTCGAACACACACCATTTATTTCAAGCCCATTGTGAAGACAGCTAGAATGTAATCTCAAACCCTAACCATAATTAGATTTTGCAAAATGTTTAACTACTAAATCAACTAAAAGCACCAAGGAGAATCAATGTATTTGATTTACCATGTTTGAAACATGGATACAGACTACTAAAAAGTCTGTATGGCAAAGACTAATATTTACCGAGCATTGTTCGCGTACATACTAATATTGGTAGCTTTACCATTTAATTCTCATGACATGCAATGAGGTAAGATAATATCATCATTCTACAGAGATGGAAACTGAGATTTAAATGGGTTAGGAAATGTGCCATATTCTGTTGACCCCCGTTTCCAAAGTACCCAGCCTGGTGTCCAATAGAAAGGTATTTAGTAACTCTCTGCTAAATGAATATATTAAGTAGTGATACCTAGAATCACACCTGAAATACCTAATGCAATGCTAAGTCTTTGAGGTCTCTGCTCTATTGCTTATTACTAATACGACTGAGATGCAGTTTGAAGTGTGAATATCATAACATGAACAATCTTCAGCTGCCACCAAGACAAGCCACCTCCTTTCTTCAGTACTTTGATGGATAATCAAATGGAATATCTACCAGAATAATCCAAACAGCTATGGAGAGAGTACATAAAACTTGCAATTTAGCCCTTCCCTCTTTTCCCAACCAAAAATTAGTATCTAACTTCAAGATAGACTTAAAAAATTAGAGGAAATATACTTTAATGAAGTAGCAGCAAACCCCCAAATTTATGAATAAATTAAACTCCAAGGTATTCAACATTCAGGTAGTCATCACAGTGTTGATTTTTACTTTTTTTTAGGGCAAAAGGGTGGGGGAGAAAATTATGCTTATAGGAGATGAGTGAATGAAGCCACTTCAGAAAAGTTTTAAAATATGAGCTGAGAAACAATAAAATCAGAGTTGTGGCAAGGAGATATCCTGTCCATATTCATTTACCATCTCCTTCAAGTAAGCAGTCAACTTGTCTCAATGTGGTGCAACACGGTTGTATAATAATTATATTAGGAACAGAATGCTGATAGATACTGGAAGTGATGTCAAAGCAGCCTCACGAGTGCTCCACTGGCGCCCCCTGCTGTCTCCTCTGTAGTCATGCTATGTATCTTTAGCTCTGTTGAATTGCTTTTCCCTGGCCGATAATGCCTTTTCCCATGGTGTTAATTAGGTTGCAAAGCTCCACTACCAACACTGAAACAACTTCAGTAGAACGCAGAATTCCAAGAGAACTGTGACCCAGTTTTTATGGTCGTGTCTTTATAAGGAAAAGCCCCAAGATACTTAGGAGTTAATCCACAGCCTCATGAAGAGTAAACCAAGGCCATTCCAATGGGTGGTGCCTGGCAAGAGAGCCAAAACACCAGTCGACCAGAAAACATTTTTGTAAGATAGAGCTGGAAATTCTACTTGCATCACAAACTCAAATGGCAAGTCGTTTGTTCCTTTAACATATATTGAGCATCTATAACTTATTGAAAATTATTCTAAGCATTGCTGGATACAAGCAGAATAAAGTGGTAACATTGACTTTCAGGAGTTCACCTTCTCATAAAAAAGGTTTGCTCAAAAAAACTTTCTGGCTTGGCACAGTGGCTCACACCTGTAATCCCAGCACTTTGAGAGGCCAAGGTGGGTGGATCACCTGAGGTCAGGAGTTTGTGACCAGCCTGGCAAACATGGTGAAACCCCATCTATACTGAAAATACAA